>NC_000024.10:8145684-8446094 GCF_000001405.40 Homo sapiens
TATCATCTAATGATAAAAATGAAAAGGTTTGGACCCCAATAAGTAAACCAATTAATTTGCCTGATCATGTAACCTAAAAAAATGAAATATATGAAGATCCAGAGTTTTACAGTCCATAATTCTTAAAATTAATAGAATAATCTGTAAAGGTGATGTATTTTTATGAGAAAATTTTGACAAGATCAAAATTTTTTATAGGGTAAGGTTGCAAATAATTTTAAAGGGAGAAGTTACCAACTTCGATTTTCAAGTGAGTTATTTATGTTACGAAGTTGTGTTTTCATTCACCTATAATGTAGGATTGTGAGGATTAAGTGAAAGGATACAACTCACTAGTTATGTGTATCTTCACAGTAGCAACACAAGAAACAGTTTCTGTCCAGGCGTGATAGCTCAGTTTTTATATCCCAGCATTTTGTGTGGCTGAGGTGGGCATATCACCCCAACTCAGGAGTTTGATACCAGCCTGGGAAACATGGAGAAATCTTGTCTGTATAGACAAAACATTACTGGATGTGGTAGTGCATCAACGTAATCCCCAATCCTTGGGGGCTGAGGCGGGAGGATTGCTTGAGCCCATGATGTCCAGGCTGCAGTGAGCCTGTTTTCTCCACTGCATTTCAGCCTGCATGACAAAGTGATACCCTGCCAAAAACAAAAACAAAAACAAAACAAAAAAAAGAAAAAATGTGTCTATGATACTCTGTCCCTAAGCTTTTTTAACCCCAATTATCTCCATGAGGCATTCTGTCATAACGTTTAAAAGGTATGGGAAACAGGAGAGTAACCTATAAGATACAGTTTATCAACCTTGGAATAGGGATTCTGTTCAGCAAGTTAGAGTAAATGCCGAAAGACCTTTAAATAAAAAGAGCTAAAGCCTTATTGTGTCATTTTTCATAGGAATATAATGCTTTTGAATGAATAATAGGATTTTTAAATCATCTTTGTCCACACGCATTGCTATGAGAAAATAACTGGACTTGGTGGTTTTTAACAAACATTTCTTGTAATCCCAGAGGCTGAGAAGCCCAAGGTCAAGGCATCAGCAAATACAGTGTACAGGTGAGGGGTCACTTCCTGGATTTTATTTTCATTTTTATTTATTTATTTTTGAGACGGAGTCTTGCTCTGTCACCAAGCTGGAGTACAGTGGCACAATCTCAGCTCACTGCAACCTCTGCCTCCAGGGTTCAAGTGATTTTCCTGCCTCAGCCTCCTGAGTAGCTGGGTCTACAGGCATGCACCACTACACCTGGCTAATTTTTTGTATTTTAGTATACACAGGGCTTCACCATTTTGGCCAGAAGGGTCTCAATCTCCTGACCCCGTATCTGCCTGCCTTGGCCTCCTAAAGTGCCGGGATTACAGGATTGGCCTCCCAAAGTGCTAGGATTACAGGCATGAGCCACCATGCCCAGCCACTTCCTGGATTTTAAACACCCATCTTGCTGAGTCTACACATGGTAGAAGTGGCTTGGTAACTCTATAGTCTTTTAGGAGGGTGCTAATAACATTTATGAGGGTGCTGTCTTCCTGACCTGATTACTTCCCATCAAAGGCCAAACCCTTCCAGAGGGCAGCCAATTGACACTTCCACATGTTGAGCTTAAGGATGGTGATGTGAGGATGGCAGTGATGATTTAATGAATTCTTTGGTTTGCAGTTTTTAATGCCTCCGGTGTTGGCATCAAATTTTAAGGGCATGAAGATAATTTTTTAAATTGTTCAAATGTAGTCATCCACCTTCAGCTTACAAGGCTTGGGGACAACTGGGCAGTTTTAGTTTTCAGTGATGCTAAATCATGAAAGGGGACACAGAGTTGAAATTTTAGTTTAGAGAGTTGTAGCTATATATTGGATAAAATCAGAATTGAAATTGTAGACTAATAAAATATGTAAGACAACTCACATGGGTGGTTTTAGTATTCCATTGAAACAAAATTCTTTCTGAAGTTACTTCTCTTGACTCTTGTTCACAAAATAAGTCTAGTCTGACTAGATTTATCATCATTTTTTACCTAAGTGCAGTAAGATCTGTCAGTGACCACAAAATTATACATATAACTTTTTAAATTAGAGACAGTGTCCAGTTCACTGCAGTCTCAACCTTATGGGCTCAAGTGATCCTCCCACCTCAGCCTCCTAAGTAGCTGAGACCATAGACACAAGCCATCATGCTTGGCTGATTTTGTACGTTGTTTGTTTGTCTGTTTGTTTGATTTTGGAGATGGGGTTTTACCATGTTGCCTAGGCTAGTCTTGAACTTCTGGGCTCAAGTGATTCTCCCACCTCTGCCTCTGAATGTTCAGGGATTACAGGTGTGAGCCACCATGCATGGCCACAGAGGCCTTTCCAGTTTACTGTGTGAGAACTTTATATTATTAGTTTCAGATTATACTTTTTAAAGCCTCGAGACTAGAACCAAGCCAGGAACTTGCCACCAGGCTTCCCTTTCAGAACCTATACAGTTAGTTGAATTCCTTTCCTCTCAAAGTCCCCAAATATTGTGAGGTTCCAGAGCTTGCCCAGAAGTGACCTGTCTCTCACCTCTCTTAGGCTAGGAAGTCTAACCAATTACCAGGCTGGTTTTTCAAGAGTGCTGTATAAGTATTTTCTCCACAGTCAACTTTAGTTCTTAAAGCTGCTTGGTTATCCCTGATTTTATGCAAAACATTCTTAAATGTATTTGAGACCAGGCACAGTCGCTCATGCCTCTAATCCCAGCACTTTGGAGGTCGAAGTGGGTGGATCACAAGGTCAGGAGATCGAGACCATCCTGGCTAACAAGGTGAAACCCCGTCTCTAATAAAAACTACAAAAAATTTGCTGGGCGTGGTGGCAGGTGCCTGTAGTCCCAGCTACTCGGGAGGCTGAGGCAGGAGAATGATATGACCACAGGAGGCAGAGCTTGCAGTGAGCCGAGATCATGCCATTGCACTCCAGCCTGGGCGACAGAGCAAGACTCCATCTCAAAAAACAAACAAAAAAAATGTATTTGATATTTCAGACAAGGCTTTGTAATAAATCCAGGTTCCAATTAGGTTCTGTTGAAAGGAGAACACATTCTTACTGAACTTTATAAATGCCTCAATTGCCATATAAATTTTTATAGAATCTTAAATGTCCATTGAACCTAACACAGCTTAACTAGTAAATTAGTAAATCCAAGAAGGATACAAATGACAAACGTATTCTCTTTTTTTTCTTTCCTTTTTTTTTTTTTTTTTTTTTTTTTGAGACTGAGTCTCCACCCAGGCTGGACTGCAGTGGCATGATGTTGGCTCACTGCAACCCCTGCCTCCCGAGTTCAAGCAATTCTCCTGCCTCAGCCTCCTGAGTAGCTGGGATTACAGCTGCGTACCACCATTCCTGGCTAATTTTTGTATTTCTAGTAGAGATGGGGTTTTGGAATGTTGGCCAGGCTGGTCTCAAACTCCTGACTCCAGATGATCCACCTGCCTCGGCCTCCCAATGTGCTGGGATTAAAGGCATGAGCTACCATGCCTGGCCAAATGCCTGGCCAACAAATGTCTTTTTATACTTAATAATAACAGCAATTTGTAATATGTAGCTGTTTGTGTTAAACAATTTTAAAGTAATCCTAGTTACCAAATATTTGCATGAGTCGCAAACTTGAATACATATTTCTAGGATTATTAAGAGTATGTCATTCACAATAGTATTCATTTATCTCTAAGCCAGTTTGAATAGCACCCCTTTAAATGATATTAAAAATTAACTTGGTAATAATATCCAGAGGTAGAAATATATCACACACACACAGCATATATGCATAAAAATAGACGCCAACAGATTTTATAGCTCTCCTAAAACTTAGTCATGAATCAGACAATAGAGTAATATAAAACTCGCTTGTTTATATCCATTTTATATTTTGTCTAAATTGTTCTTCTGGGAAATGAGACAAGGTTGCCTATTCAATAGGAGGACTAATACCTTTTGTCTGTATTGTTGAAGAAGACTTTTATGATATTATTTTGCCCCAATATTTACTCTATGGAGCCAGAGGGCTACATTTTAGGCATAGAATACATATAGTTGCAGTCTGGATGTCTCCAAAGGCTGGGTAGATAAAATACTCAATCCCTTCTAATTAGCATTTTTCATTTCAACTTCAGGCCAGTAATTTTTTGGAGGGTGGAGAAGATACTTGAGTCTCTCAAGAGCTTCTGATTTAGTGGGCCTAAATTTCTGTTGACTATATGTAGAGAGTTGAAGGTTGAAATAGGAAGGAAAAGGCTTGTTTAGGGGTAGATAGAAGAATAGTTGATGAGAGGTTTGAAAGAGGGTATGTCAGTTGATTCAAGGAAGGTAAAGGGAAGATTGAAGGTGGTGAGAGGAGAAACAAGAAACATGAGAAATAAGAAGGAAGACTTCAAAGAGGCACTAGTGTAGGGAGATGTTAAGTTTCTCAAACATCATTGAAGTTCTAAGTTATCCTTAAAAAATGCATGCCAAGAAGGATATAGAGTAAGCAAAGCCTAAAGTCCACAAGAGTTCAAGAAGGTGGGTTTTAGTTGGCTATGAGACTTCCATGGGAAAGGCAAGAATCCAAATAAAGAACAGAGAGGGGTCAAAGAGTTTCAGTGCAGATTAGAGATAGAGACAGTGAGACAGAAAGATAGATAGAGATAGAGAAAGATAGAGATGGATAAACATAGAGATAAACTTCATGACAGGCCAGAAAGATGGGGAAATTCCCATTAAGGAAAAAAGTCTCCAACGTAGGGAATCAAGAAATAGTCTGCACTCAGAAAAGAGAGTAAAGGAAAGCCAGCCAATGGAGTCAAGGAAAACCCCACTCAGAAAGTAGCAAGGAAAAAAGATGTTTAGCATAATCAGGGAAAAAAAATCTTACTTAGGAATAGACACCCAAGAGGACAACTCTAGCCGAAAATGTCAGAGAATGGGCCCCTATTGGGAAGAAAAAGGGTATACAACAAAAAGCATAAAGGAATAATCCCAAACATGAAGTAAAGCCAACAAAAAAAGAGTTCCAGACTTGGAAATCAGGAAACAATTTCCAGTCAGATTAGAGAACAAGGCAAGAGAGACTTGCAACCCCAGGGAGTCAGGGAATAATCATAAGAAAAATGATAACCTGGGAAAAGAAAATGTCACCCTAGGAGACAGGGAATAATACCCAATAAAGGAAAAGAGCCAGGAAGATGAAATTTCCAACTAAGGTATCAGGAAATATTACTCAGAAAATTGGAATAATCTGTAATAAGGGAAAAAAAGTTAAGAAAAAACAAAACAAGAAAATGTTCATCTCCTGGAGTCAGACAGTAATCCCTACTAAGGGAAAAACCAGGAGAAAAATACTTTCTGCACGCTAGGAATAAATGTCACTCAGGAAAGATAGCCCATAAGAAGGAACTTCTACCTAAGAAAGTTAGAATAATCATTATTAATTTTTTAAAGAGAGAAAAGGAAGGATTTAAAATGAAATCAGGGTATAATCCCCATCAGGAAATAGAGTCAGAAAGAAGAATTTTGTGCCCAAATGTGAGAGAAAAATTTCAAATCAGGAAAAAGAGTGAGGGATGACAAACTTCTGTCCCCACGGAGCCAGGAAATAATCTTCAATCATGAAAAGAAATAGAGAAACAGTCTTTCACCACAGAGCTCATTTAATATTTACCTCAGAGAAAAGAATGAAGGAAAAAAAAAAGAAGTTCAGTCCAAGGATTCAGAGAATAATACTAATTTAGGACAGGGAACCAAGAAGAGACTGTGAGCTCAGAATCACATGAGAATTATTCTCACTTAGGAGAGAGAGACAATCTAGTAGTCAGAAAAAATGTTACCCATTAACAAAGAGAAGAGAAAGAAGAGATATCTATCCAGAGAGTCAGAAAAGAGAGCTAATAAGTGACTTACAGCTCAGGTGCCAGGGAATAAATTCCATTTCATAAGAGAGCCAGGAGAAAGGTCTTTCAAAGCATGAGGTGAGAGAATAATTTTTACTCAAGGAAGAGGTCTGGAAAGACATGATGTCCAATGAGGATAATAATTTATCTTATGAAACAGAGCCCAGAAAAACAGGTTTTTACTCCAGGAGTCAGGAAATTTCTACACAGGAAATAGAGCCAGGATTTTTTTTTTTTCCTGCTCAGCAAAGAAGGCCAGAAATTTCCAAACAGGAGCCCAGGGAAAAGTCTTCAGTCAGAAAAACAATCAAAAACAATAATTTTCTACTCCAGGAGGCATGGAACACCTCCCATTGAAGTAAAATAGCCAGAAAAAAAGAGTACTATCCCAGAAATCAGGAAATAATTTCTATTCAGATAAGACATCCACTAAGGAGATACTTCTATACCATAAAGCCTGGGATTAATCACCAATAAAACAACATGAAAAGATATGACATTTAGCAAAGAGAGAATAATCTCTACTAGGCTAGGACAGAAAAGGTAGAGAGACTTTCACTCAATGAGTCAGGGAATAATTCCTACCAAAAGGCGACAGCAAAAAAAAAAAAAAAAAAAAAAGACACTTTAAGCTCAGAGAGTTAGGGAATAGTCCCTATTGGGAAAACAAAGCAAAAGAAAAAAACATTTTATCCTATGAAGTTAGAAAATAATTCCCTACTCAGGGATATCAGAAAGTCAGGACTTCCTGACTTAAGCCCAGTCAGCCAGAAAATAATTTCTCCTAGCAGAAGAGTCAGGAAGAATAGATATCCAACCTACATGCAAGGAAATGGGTTTTCTATAAAGAAAGACAACCATGAAGAAGAGAGTTTCAGATGAGGAGTAAAGGTCTAATGTTCACTAAAAAAAAAAAAAAAAAAAAGTGACTTAAATAGAGCTGACTCTCACACCAGGCTTGGAAGAAACATTTTGCCCTGAAGAATGTATTCCTCTCTCAAAAAAAGAGTATCAGGTTGAAGAGAATTACAGCCCAGGGGAGTTGTAACCAAGGTTGTAATCCCTACTCAAAACAAATAAACAAACAATCAAAGAATAAACTTTGTGGAGCCTAATGGGAAGGACATCAATCTCTGTGCCTTCTTCCCTGGCTTCCTTCAGTGATTAGGGAAAGCATTTTTTCTCTCCCTGGAAAGATGTTTGAAGTCTTCAGGAGCTAGAAGAAAGGTCTCAGCACCCCTAGTCTCTTCTTCTCTAGCTTGCTTTAGTAATATATCTCTGAAATCTCTCCCTGGAAAGAGGCTAGAACAAATACTACCAAAAGCCTAAATGAGAAGAACGACAGTCACTGTGCCTTTTTTCACTTCTTTCAGTGATTTCTGCAATTATTCTCTCAAAGTAGGCTGGAGACAGACCCCTGTGAGCTAAGTAGAGACAACACTCCCCAAGACATTTTCTCTGACTTGCTCTAGCAAAATTCCCTGCAGTCTCTGTCTGGAAGGAGACAGAGAGTCAGAATACTTACAAGCCTAAATGAGAAGAAAAACACTTCCCACATTTTCTTCCCTGGCTTGTTCTAATAGCAAATTTCTGCCACCACTCACTAGAGAAAATCAGGGAGTTAGATCTCTGAAATCCTGAATGGAAGAGAGAGCACTCCCCTTCTATCACCAGACATAGTATGCTTGCTTCACAGGCTTGTTCTAGCAACAAATCCCACCTGCTATTCTCCCTGGACAGATTGTTTGGTAAAGTATAAATGTGACGGTGAACACTCCTAGGCCTTCTTGCTTTCTTCTCTGCCTTGCCACAGCAAGAAATCTGACTTGCAGATTCTTCCTGCAAGAAAGTTGTGTGACTTTGGCAATGCAGAATGAGAAAGCAGCCACTCTGCACTACCTTCTCCCTGGTGATAAATCAAGGTCTGTAGACCCTCCCTGGAAGGAGCTTCTGCATATATCATGTGTCACAAATTTTACAGCTTGTACCTAAGGGACTTGTCTTAAATTATCTACTTCTGGAAGTGAATGGGACTCTCTATTTTGAGTCTCCTATATCACAGAGAACAAGATTGTCAAAATTGTAAATGTTCAATGACTATCTGTCCAGATTCAGAGTAAGCATAATGAATGACTGTACAGATGTCAGTAATGGGCACTATTCTTGGCATAGGGCAGAACTAGTTGGACATAAACTCTGAATCTACGCTTCTCCACAAATAATATACATCTAATAGCAAAACCTTTTACCTGCATATCATGAGGCTGGCTACTATCTTGCCTATGCCAAAGGAATATTATGATTTTACACACCCTACAATCCAGGGGGCCATAAGAAGAAAGACAGTGAGTTGGACAATCACAGAATTGAGAAGCACCTGGAAACTCTGTTGCACTGTTAAGGAAATGAAATTTTCTATATAGGATGAGTTAAGGAAAACAGAATGATGGTTGTCTTCACTGACTTGCAGAAACCAACTCATAGTCAAGAAAAATGGGGCTGATGGTAGTGGGTACAGGAAGGCAGATGGCCAGGGGGTGCAGTGGAGAGGAAAATACATTCCAAGGTAGAGAACGAAAGAAATCAATAGATTCCTGAAATCAACAGGAATCTGATAAAATGAATGTATGTAATGTCCCTGACGGGGAAATCAAAACAAAAAGCACTAAGGTATTAACCTAAGTCAGGAGAGCAATGCATTTAAAAACTAAGAATTTTAACAAAGAGGTAGAAAATATTTCAAGGTATCAAGAGAAATTAAAGAAGTAAAAAATACAGGAACCTAAGTCAAAAATTAAACAGAAGGTCCAAATGTTAAACTGGATCAAGCAGAACAAAGGATAAGCACAATTAAATCAAGTCTTTGAAAATAATTGGAGGATAAAAATGAAAGAGAAAAATCAGGAATCATGAAGACAGCCTAAGGAACTTATGGAACATTATGAAGCAGGATGATAATGTGTGGAGTACTATAAGGAGAAGACAAAGATAAAAGGAGAGAAAAATAATTGATATATTTTTTATACAAATAAAAAATAAAAGTCTGGGCACAGTGAGTCACGCCTGTAATCCCAGCACTTTGGGAGGCTGAGGTGGGCAGATCAGCTGAGGTCAGGAATTTGAGACCAGCCTGGCCAATATGCAAAACCCCATCTATACTACAAATACAAAAAATTTTCCAGGCTTGGTGGTGGGGGCCTGTAATCCCAGCTACTTGGGAGGCTGAGAGAGGAGAATCACTTGAACCCAGAAGGCGGAGGTGGCAGTGGGCTGAGATCTCACCAGTGCACTCCAGCCTGGATGACAGATCAAGACTCCATCTAAATAAATAAATAACAACAACAAAAGGATAAAGATGGCTGCTAAGAGTCACTCAAGACTCACCCTAACATCCTCCACAAGGAAGGTCCAAAATAGCAAATAGATAACTAGGTATTGAATTGAACATCTTTGGGAGAATGCTAGAATTCAGCAGGGAAGTGACTGTGACTCTCTGAGGCATGAAAACTGGGGATGGCAGCAGTATAGAGAGGGACCAAAGCAGCCAACTGGAATTGGCTCAGAACCAAAAGGAATTCTCCACTGTGGAAGAAAGAATGACCACATTTGCAATCCTGGATGCAGAGAATCCCCTTGGCCCTGTGAGGACAGATCCTAAGCCTAATACAGAGACCTGCCTGATGTCCACACAACTATATTGTCCCAGAGAGGGAACTCATGCAAGACCCCATGCCCACAGAAGCCCTCACTGCTGGTGCATGGCCCACTGTTGAGGGTGATATTGGGCAAAAGGCAGTCTACAACCTACATTAGAGCCTTTTGCCCAGAGGTCCAATATCCCCTGCATCTCCATGTCCTGGGTCCTTGCTCATATGCTGTCTTGTCTGCACAGAGGCTTCAGTGTCACAGTGTCAGCTGGATGCAACAATGTGGCTGTGTCTGTGGTAATGGAAATCATGCAGCATCCTATACCCTAAGGAATAGGCATTCCAGCATACTTGAAAGGCTGCCTCAAAACGTAGGGAACAAAAATATGTGATCCATAGAGCATGGAAAATCCCTGCCTGAGGATGCTGCCACTGAGGCACCAACTCCTCCCAACCCCTCAGCAGCAAGACAACCACACACACACCAGTGAGTGTCACATCAGGACCCACAACCCAGAACCTAAACTGCCACTGCCACTACAGGCACCCACATGTACCACATGGAGGACCAAAGCCTGGCCCACCTAGGCCACAGCCACCACAGTGGGGCCCTTCCATGCTGCCTGGGACCCCTAAACTGACCTGCCCAATGCAGATGTCACAGCTGGTTTCTTCTGATGCTACCAAGGATCCTGAGTACAGGCCTGCCCAGCACAACCAAACCCCACCAAAGTTTCATCACAGGCTCTTAAAACAACTACAACCTAAGCCATTAAGGCACTCTCATACATTTCTGATATTTAGTGTAGCTAAAGAAATAATATTAAGACCATGCTATGCTACTTACCAAGAACCAAAGTCAAAGTACTCTGCCCAGTCGACATTATAGATGCATGTACAGGGAATAGTTTTGTCCCAGTGCTTTTCTTTAAACTTCAGATAATTTTCTCACATGGATATGCAGATTAACAGGCAGTGGAAGGCCCGCGTGAACTCTTTTGCCTCTCTGGGGTTTCCTTTTTGTGTAAGTCCTCTTTTATTTTCTGGCATTTTGCTCTACAAATTCTAGCTTTATTGGTATGGTTGAACTCTGATTTTAGTCTTCTCAAACTAACAACACCCCCTAAGTTATGGACTGGCGATAAGCAGGGTTCATTCTTACACTGTCTTTATTCATCTTTTCTGAGAAATTTTTGTTTGGTGCTGCCTGTAATTGAACGTAGAAAAATCTTTTGTTCATATTTCTGTCTAGTTTTATACTTATTTAACCTGGGAGGGTAAATATGGTCTCCATTGCCCCATGGTGGTTAGTGGCATAATGGGCCATGGAAGGCTTTCAGAAGTCGTTTTTGAAGACACAACACAAATTCTGTTTGCATAATGAACTTAGATAAAATATAGGCAAGAAAATAATGTTAGCAGAAAGAAGGCCCTACAGAAATCTTTTTAGCAAGTTGTGCAAATATAATTCAAATTTAGTTGAAACATTTGTATAAGCTTGTCTATATAAGACTTTCTGTGTCAAAGGAATACATACAGATAAAAATTTCAGAAAAAACATAGAAACTGGCTTATTATATTTTCAAAAATAATCCACATTTATTTTATTGTATTTTACTTTTTTGAAACAGAGTCCAGTTCTCTGGCCCACGCTGGAGTGCAATGGTGCGATCTTGGCTCTCTGCAAGCTCTGCCTCCTGGAGGCGATTCTCCTGCCTCCTGGGTACCTGGGACTACATGCGTATGCCACCAGACGTGGCAATTTTTTTTTGTATTTTTAGTAAAGATCAGCTTATGTCATGTTGGCCACACTGGTCTCATTTGAGGTACACCTGCCTCAGCCTCCTAAAGTGCTGGGATTAGAGGCATGAGCCACCTTGCCTGGCAAAAAAAAAAAAAAGAAAAAAATCCACATTTTAAAATAAAATAGAATACAACTTATTGTGGACATTACCATTTTTATATCAGTCACTTGAAAAATGGCACTTCTCTCAAATGAGTAATGTATATAGGAATCAATTTTGTAAAATCAGAAAATGTGCTTTATTTCTGGGGATTCTAGGCATATTAGATACTTTTGCCAGTTACATTTAGTATGTAGGACAAACCTATAGTCTGATAAAATTGTATTGACTTGGTAGAGTAAGACAGACCATGCCTGAGGGACAACTAAAGTAATAAAACTAGGCACTGTAGGATTTATGGGAAATGTGGTGAGTAGATATTTAGACAGAGCAGAGTTTCAATAGGTTCAAGGTGCAGTACGCCTGTGTATGAAATGCGAAAACATCATGTTTAGACTGTGAGAGAACTCAGTGTCTTTATTCCTTGTAGATCACAAGTTGACATTTGTGTGGAATTTTGAGTGCAAATTCTTGTTATTTGAAGCTATGTACCTAGAATGGAAATCTTTTTTTCTTCTGTAGAAAGTGACATACATCAGCCAGGCAAGAGTACTAAGTTTTATTTTTACTGACAATATTTCAAACT
This sequence comes from Homo sapiens, assembly GCF_000001405.40. Taxonomy (NCBI): domain Eukaryota; kingdom Metazoa; phylum Chordata; class Mammalia; order Primates; family Hominidae; genus Homo; species Homo sapiens. The sequence continues at coordinate 8,157,719 of NC_000024.10, forward strand.
GCAAATACTCTGTTTATAATTTCAGAACATAAAGTTTCTCAGTGAGTAAGAAAGCAGAAGTCATTCAGATATGATAATTTTTATGACCCTTTATAGCTGTACCCAGACTTTGGCAGAAATATTGATTTCCCTTAAGTCGGGAGGTGGCTTTTCAGTTCTCCTCTCAGCATGATGGATTGAGATGGTGGATTTTATCCTTCTCAGCTTTGTTTTATTTTCTAACCTGTTAGAATTTACTTATCTCAGCATTATTGTGATTTCCAGTAACAAAGCTGAACTTGCTTGTTTATACTATATACAATTTAAAGTAAAGAAAACTACCACATTAGCTTCTACATTTCAAAATAAAACTCAGTAAAACTTGGTTATATTTATTACCATGAGTGTCTGTATGCTTTTACTACATTTGTATGCAATTTAATATAAGTAGTTTAAATTTAACATTAGTATTAGTGGCATCAACTATGGGTGCTCTTTTTAGTATTGGCTCTTTTTTGTGCACACTTAGGTGATTTCTTACATTTTGCTATTAAATATTGTTTCAGATAACTTTCTTCTGCATTCCTACTTTCCTAATGTACAAGGAAATTTGTAAGTAGGGATTTTATATTGATAGTAATACAGTAACACACATGTACATTTGTACGTGTTTAATATAAACAGACCAGTTAGAGAATATAAAGTGCAAAATAAAACAAGTAAATATTGCCCAGTTCTCAAATGATGAAGAAATCAGTCTTCATGGCAAAATCTTCAGCATGAAGTCATTTGGCACTCTACAAAATAAACAAAGGTCGGGAGATGTGGCGCAAGCTTGTAACCCAGCACTTTTGGAGGCTGAGAAAATCAGATCACAGGAGTTCAAGACCAGCATGGAAACCAACACCAGAAACCTTGTCTCTACCAAAAATATGAAAATTAGCCAGACATGGTGGTGCATGCCTCTGCAGTATCTTACAGTTATTTGGGAGGCTGAGGCATGAGAATGGTTTGAACCTGGGAGGCTGAGTCTGCTGTGAGTTGAGATTGCACCATGAACCCTAGCCTGGGTGACAGAGCAAGACTTCAACTCAAAAATAAACATGAAAATAAACAAATATGTAAATAATAGACAGGGTATCCTTCACTTCAGGCAGTTATCGTTTCTCTCTCTCTCTCTCTTTTTTTTTTTTTTGAGACAATATCTCACTCTGTTGTCCACACTGGATTGCACTGGCATCATCATAGCTCACAGCAGGCTTGACTTCCTGGGTTCAAATATTAGAGCCTCCCATTTCAGCCTCCTGAGTAGCTGGAATTACAGGCACACACAAACATGTGCAGCGTGTTTGTGTGAGTGTGTTCTTTTGTTTCTGGACTATATTTTCTTTTGAATCACACCTTTTTATAACCCAATCTTTCTATTCATTATTTTAGTTAATCTCTGGTTCAACTGCTATGTGCTTTAATATTAACTTTTTTTCATGAGGTAGCATGGGTTACACATTTGAATCTCTAGTATATGTAAAGTTTTCTTTCCACTAATTTTCCATGGGTTTGAAAATTTAGGTGTATGAAATTTTGGGTCATGCCATATTTTTTACCAGTAATTCTTTAGACATTGCCAAATAATCTGGAGATTTGTTTATAAAACAGACATGTGAGGCCAATTTGACCAGTGACTTGCATTCAGGAAAACTCTTAATTTATTTTTATGTTATAAGATTTTTTAACACATGAAATTAAAAAATTTGGCCAGGATAAGCTCAATGCCTCTCCCAGTTTGTATAAGTAAGGCTAACACAAGACCATTGTATACTGTGTTGTTTCTTTATGGCATTAATTTATCTTTCTGAATTATCACTACCTGTTGACCTGCCTCCTTGCCTCATAGGCTCCACTTGACTCTTTAGCCACATTAATGTTGGCTTTTTTTTTTTCCTTTGAGACAGAGTGTTACTCTGTCACCCAGGCTGGAGTGCAGTACCACGATCTGGGCTCACTGCCAGCTCTGCCTCCCGGGTTCACGCCATTGTCCTGCCTCAGCCTCTTGGGTAGCTGGGACTACAGGCACCCGCCACCACACCTGGTTAATTTTTCTGTATTTTTAGTAGAGACAGCGTTTCACCGTGTTAGCCAGGATAGTCTGGATCTCCTGACCTCGTGATCCACCTGCCTTGGCCTCCCAAAATGCTGGGATTACAGGCATGAACCACCGCACCTGGCCTCAATATTGGCTTTTTAAATGCTGTATCTTTAGCATGTTGCACAGTGCTTGATACAGCATAACTCTCAATAAATCCTGTTTCATAAAATTCCACAATTTGACACCATTTCTGTAAGTGAAGTCTAATTAAATCCATGGGATAGACATGTTAAGGAATGAGAATTAAGGGTCTACATATTTTTAAATAGAAAATTGAGAGAAGATTAAAATATTGGTGCAAAAATTGAAGACATTATTTGATAATGTTATTTAATATTTGATAACACATTATCAATATTATGAATGAACTCAAGTTGCCTTATCTTTAGTGCATCTGTTGACTCTTGCATGGATGTTTACTTCATTACGGTAACTTTCAGTGATTTCTGATGCTCTGATTATTTCTAGTAGGCATTGTCTTTCCTGGGAGCACCGTGCATTTTGGATGCTAGTACACACATGCATTTCCATTTTACCTCTGAGAGGATGCAAAATTTACTCTCAATACAGTAGATGCCCATCTGTAAAGTAAAAATTCGAATTGAGTTGCATGTGGGTAGGCTTCTGTTCCAATTGCTGACAGGCCACTCTGTCCCCCACCACCCCTGAGTGATATGCAGAAGGAACGCTGCCAACCATTCTCCAGGAGAAAAATCAGATCATGTCTCATAGTTTCTGAGTTTATGTGGTGGTTTTATGCCTTTCAAGATATGAGAACCTCATCTTGCACCTTAGCTGGGAATCAAAACTCATGATCTCACCCTGCAAAGGGTAAATCTGTGTTGGAAAACAGCCCACCTTGGCTTCAGCTCTAGCTTACAGCACGAGCTTTATGATCCTGTTTCATATCCCGCATGTGATTTTTTTGGTTCTACTGTGAATATTTAATAGTTCTCATTTACATAGCATTCCTATGTTTTTGGAGAAGTTAACTCTGCTGTATCAACTGGACATCTTTATATTTCCAGTGTCTTCCCAAATCTGTGGGCCGTGGTGGCACCTCCTGAATTAACCATTTAATAAATGAATAAAGCAGGTGTGAATACGCTATGAGAGTCACAGTGTGGATGTTCATTGAGAGGGTGGACAGTAGACCCCAAAATGTTTCAGGAAAAATAACAAGAAATAGTGGGAAAGGGGAGAGTATAAAACAGCAGACCCAACACTGAGGAATAATTTTTGTGACTTGCAAAAGCTGCCTGAGACCTGATTTCTGTAGGAAAGTATTTTTAAAATCATAATAGTGACCCTAGTTTTGCCATGTGGATGTTTTACTTATTGCGTTTTATTAAGGTTCTGTAGCTCTTCACTAAATACATGCTATAAAACTTCTGCCCAAACAAAGGAACATGTCATCAGAAATAAATAGTTTGGAATAGTGGAAATACCATCTAATGCAAATTTTTGGTAGCAAATTCCTTTCTGTAACATCCCTGGCTTGAAAAATTTGGATCATACTACAGGTGATTATTTTTTTTTCACAATCATGTTAGTTTTCTCCCAAATAGAAACTTTGTGTTGACTGCTTTCCAGACGTACCCACTCTGGCTAATTCTTATGAAAAGGTCTTTCATTGTTCAAAGAAAGAAAAATTCAACAAATTTCTCTGTGTATTTATTTTTCATTTGATAAAAAAATAGTTTAACTAACTAGGACATACATTCCATTCTCTCAGCCACTGTGGTAACAGACCTTTTTTTTTTTTTCCATCAACATTTGCTTAAGAGAGTATGAATGGCAGGATAGTACTTGCTAGGAAAGTAGATTATAAAGATAAATGTAAGAAGCCTTACATTATTTCCCCAACCAGTTCCAGATGTGCCTTTATGCCTATTATATCTCATAAACACCAGGACAGGTACACCAGCTGCTCTCTACTCTCAGAGGGCATGATATTTCTTCTCATTCTGGCACCAGCCACCACTTCCTAAGGAAAGAAACTCTCACAAGTCTGAAGTAAGCAGGTGGAGATTTCACCAGTGCTACAGAAAAAAGAGTAGGTCCTGATAGGCAGGTGGAGCTTTCACCAGTGCTATAGATAAAAGACTGGGACCTGATAGCTCTCTGCTGACAGTGTGCTTCCATTAAAAAAAAAAAAAAAAAAAAAAAAAAGAACTACAATATAAAAGACACGAAATTCAGACATTAAAAACAATTCTTTGGATATTAAAAATTGTAGTCTTCTGATATTTTATAACGGTTATATCTACTTCTCTTGGCAATGTTTCACTCAGTGGGAGTGAAAACAAAGGGACTTAACTCCCTAGACAGACTGAATAATACATGGCTTACTCGCTTCTATTAGTATGAACACTTTCTTTTTTGTTATTAAATTTTTGTACAATGCAATAACACAAAAGAAAATTGTGCTGCAGTGTATAAAATGTATGATGTGTTAGCTTATGTTAAAATCAGAAACACTGTTCAAGTGCTGTAAAAATATGAGATGTATATTATTCTTTATATTATGGGTTTTATTTTATCAAATGGTAAGATTAGACATTTTCTTTCTCTTAATAAAAACATAAGACTACACTTTCAAGAAAGCCTGAGAAGTACTGTCCTGAGCATCTTGATTTCTTGAATATTGGCCACAAATTACTATGTTACTGTTTGATACTAGAAAAAAAACATCCCAACACAACTCCCAGTAAGATATGGAAGTACATCATTCCAAGCTTGACAAACTACAATATGATGATTGCCTAAAGGGGATTCCAAATCTTACAGCAATTTTTTCTCCCTTCACACATATTAACTTGAACACTATGTTCAATTCCCATCATGAACTCACACATGAACACACCACACCCCACCACGTTCTGCAGTGGAAACACTGCTGGCCCTGTCCTGGTGAAGGACAGAAAAATCAAAATCCATTGAGTCTCCATCAATAAGCTCATAGGTTGGTACCTCTAGACTCCTCTGAAACAGGCAGAAGTAACTTCAGAAAAGTTTCCAGAAAAAAATCTATATTCATAATTTTGCCCTGATACTTAGGAGAGTTGATGCTGGTATTTTTTTTAACCTTTGTTCCATCGTTTGTAAAATGGCTAAAATAACCTGGGCCATTCCTTACCCCATGATTTTTATCATAATCAGGTGAGATAACATATGTAGAAATCTGGAAATTGTTTATAAAATTTAATATTCCTATTTTTTGAAAGGTTTATATTTGGTATATGTAGCAAATGTGCATGCCTTTCTATGTACCAGTCAGTGTTCTAAGTGGCCTAAGTTTTTAACTCATTTCATCATCCCAATCTCTGTATGAAGTATAAATGACTTTCAGCCCCATTTGATATATCAGTAAGCTGAGACACTGAGAGACAAAGTAATTCATTTATTCTATTAATACCTATACTATACCAATATTTTAAGGATGTCACTGACTGAACTCATGCCATGCATATGCTATCCCATGCCTAGGCTATAAGACCAGGAGACTAGTATATAAATTGGTTTAACTATACAATGTAAAAGCAAGATTCCACATAGAAGCCCTCAAAATACAGTGTGAGCCAATCCTAGGAAAAAGAAGAGAGAAATCAAAATATCTAAATTGTCTAAATGGAAACAATGGACTTTGGCCATGGAGGAACAAAGGATAATGATAGTGACCTACTCCTGAACAGCCCTTAACTGTGTAAGATTGGGCCCTTTGATTGTCCTTTGTTAGCATCATTATCATATTACTTGTAAGCAATAGCAGAAATTAAAAATGTGACAAAGAAGTATTTGAGATATGATACATCCTATTGGTGAGAGTAAAAGGATGAAATGAAGATGTTATTAAATTAAAATGAGCAAGGGAAAGATGGGAATACAAATAAGTAAGTATCACCAAATTGTTCAGATAATGCAGAAAGAGCTCAGAGAATGCATCAGAGTAATTCTACCCATAGTGTACTATTTGACTAGAACACCACATCCTTCATGTACTCTTTGACTAGAACACCATGTCCTTAAGAACTAACCTTAAGTAGGCATGGCACCAACGATACCTTTGTGGGGAAAGCAGAAATTCAGATGCATTTACAGAGTGTGTTATGGCGTATATGCGACTTCCCTTCAGCTACTCGATCTCTGTCTGTTTTGTTATGACTACTTTTTTAGAGATTTTGGTATTGCTTCCCAGTTACCAATTACCTAATCACATAACATTAGTTTCTAGCATGCACTTTAGCTCCCAGAAGCAGAGATGACTTTGGTAAGGGGGCATAGCTAATTTATTTATGATCTATCACTGAGTAACAAATAATATTGAAACTTAGTGGCTTAAAAAAACACCATTAATTACTTCACAGTTTATGTGGTTCTGGAAACTGGGCATAGTTATCAGGGTATGTCTGGCTCAAGGCTTCTCGTGAGATTGCAATCAAGGTGTTAACCAGGATTTCAGTCATTGTAATACACATGTAGGGAAAGATGTGCTTCCAAGCTTGTTCACCTGGTTGTTGGCAGGGTTTAGTTCTCAATGGGCTGTTGGGCTAAGGACTTCAGTTCCTAACTGGCTATTAGCTAAAGGCTGCCTCTACGTATTGACACATGAGTGTGCTCATAATGCAGCTCAAACATGACAGGCAGCTTTCTAGGAAACAGCTTGGACAGGGGTGGGTGAGGTGTTCCACATTTGGGCTTCCACATGTGAGATGTATAAGCAAAGTACTTTAAAATATTAGTAAAATAAATCATTAAGGGGACCCTGCATGGTGGCTTGTTCCTATAATTCCAGCACTTTGAGAGGTCAAGGCAGGAAGATTGCTTGAGTCCAGGAGTCTGAAAGTAGCCTGGGCGACATAGCAAGACCCATCTCTACAATAAGCACATAAATAAAAATTTCGCTTGGCATGGTAGTGCATATCTCTTGTTCCAGCCACTTGGGAAGCTGAGGTGGGAGGACCACTTGAGCCCAGGATTTCAGGACTGCTGGGAGCTATAATCATTCCACTGCACTCCAGCCAGGGCAACAGAGTGAGACCCTATATCAGGAAACAAAATAGTGAAGAGAAAACAGTAAAAGATGATGGCTGAACTAAAGTGTAAGAGAAGGTCTTTGGAAACTAGGAATTTCAGATACTGGTATTATTTGGTGGGCCTTTGTGTGAATGTTAAACTCACTGTAATCATTGACAGGAATTGGAATGGACAGGAAAATTGTGAGAATAAATTTTTAAATTTCCTAAATTTAAAAATAAATTTAGGAAAGTGTATTTGAATATGATACTAGAAAGGGAAGAAGATGAATCTGTGACCTTACTCAGGCCTTCCATTATGTGGAGTGTGAGAGGATTAAGTGGCCTGTGCTTGGGTGGGCTGCAAGAGAAGTAGTGACTTCTATGGAGAACCTGTGTTATTTCAGGCACAAAGGTTGAAGGTTATTAATTGAGGTTGTTGTGTGTAGAGAGGAGTTTCTTTATCATAAAGTATTAACTCTAGAATTGCCCCAACTCCCTTTCAAGCTAGCCTACTTGGTAAGATGTTATAGTAAATGTCCTCCCTTCCATGTGTTGCTTGTCCTGTATCTCATATACCTCACTAAAGTACTCCACATATGCTCTTTTATTTCAGGCTTGTTTACTGGGGAACTCAAGCTAGTACAAAGGGAAAGGGAAATGTAATACTGTTTATTCAAAGGGGTTTATGTGTGCACAAGTATAATATACATGGTGTATACCAGTGAATGTTAGCAAATAATTATCAAACAAAAAAATTAAGGTATGAAGACCTGTTTCTAGTAATCACCGTAATTATCATAACAATCATCATTGTTGCTCTCATAAATTCACATTAGGGTAACAAGCCATATGATTTAATCTGGGATGCTCACAGGAGGAGGCCCAGGCCAGATTGCAGGAGAGAAAGAGGATGTTTTTCTTTACCCAATCAACACTGATTTCATTAAGAAGACTAAATTTGTTTTTCCCTTTAAATTTACATATTCTGTTGAGAAATCCTTAATATAACTAGCAGTTTTAAAAGATATAGCAACACTTTCTATACAAAAAGTTGGAAATTATATGTTTTTACTAGCAATGAGAAAATGTTGAAAAAGATAACAATAAGTAGATAATTTATAATCAGGGGAAAATTATAGTTCTGACAATGTATTAGATTCCTAGAGCTACCATTAAAAAATTACCACATTTTGAATGGCTTTGAAAAACATATTTTTTTTTTCTGCATTCTGGAAGCTAAAAGTCTGAAGTCAATATGTTGCAGGACCTCTGAGATTCCTAGAGGAGAATTCTTCCTTGCCTTTCCCAGCTTCTGGTTGTTGCCAGTAATCCTTGGCATTCATCAGCTTGTAGATATACTGCTTCACCATCTACCTCTCTCTTCACATGGCTGTCTTCCCTGGGTGTATGTCTCTGGTCTCTAAATCTCTCTTTCCTTGTAATGATACAAGATACTGCATTTAGGGCATGCCCTAATCTAGTGTGACATTACCTTAACTTGATTATATTTGAAAAGTTTATATTTCCAAATAAGGTTAGAGTTGCATATCCCTAGGGTTATCATTTCAACATTTTTTTTTTAGAAAATTCAACCAAATACAGGGTTATTATTAAATAATAATTATTGGAATTTTGACACTAATTCCTGAAAACCAAAGTTTCTACTAAAATAAATAAATGAAGATGAGGTAGCAAGGTAACAAATGTTTTACTCAGGTAAACTTGGAAGCAGTCATGAGATGTGACAGTTTACCTAAGTAAATAATTCCAAAGAAATTATCTCCCTAACACCAATTAGTATAGTTCTTAGATTAGGCAAATCCTTCGTCCTGCTCATGTCATAGCTTTGCTTTGCTGTTCACAATTTTGGAGTTGAAAACACCTTAGGGGCCTCATCCATTAATGCAAACAAATATAAAAGGGCAATGCATCAGAGTTGTTTTCCTACTTCAAATGACTGGATTCTGAGCTTCCCCATTATCTCAAGGTTCTGAGCGGTGGAGTGTTTAGCAGTCAAACAACATGAAAATGCATACTGTGAAACACTAAGCTTCTTTCTTACCAGAAATACCACTGGGAAGAAAAAAAAAGGAGTTTCTCTGTATTGGCACTACAAAGGATATGTGAAAGCAAGGATATTTCGCTCTACTCTCACAGCCTTCACCACTGTAAATATCTACTGTCATGCAGACCAGCTCTCAGTTCTAAAACATAGGACCCTCTAGAAGACTGGCTATCTACAGAAAACACAAAAGTTGAAAGTCTTTTTACATGGCCTCTTTAAACACACATTACTTTTGTTGTTGTTGTTTGTTTCTTAAGGCCACTACATTTTATTAATTTTACACCACTCCGTGCAATAATTTTCAAGGAAATATGGAGTACACTTAGTGTAATATTTATTTTATACCCACAAAAAATTCCGAATTGCAGACGTTTTACATCTTAAAGCTCTTGACAAATGGATCAAAAATAGTTTTTGGTTTTTATTTCCTCACAGGTGTTTTCCCTCCATTCTTTCAACATTAGTTCATTTTGTCAACAAGCATTGTCAGAAACTATGTAATTGTCACATTGAACTTTATGCCATTTTTCAGGTGACTCCCCATCTTCTAATACACAAACCTGAGATTCATATTTGTTTTAAAACCTGCTACTGGTCCCCTAATACTCACCATTATTGAGTTAGTTATTAATACTTTTGGTTTATGCATGTTTACTTTCCATTACACCTACTTGTTTTCAAAGGTCCTGTTCAGAACACATTTCTCAAATAATTTCTGAACCTAAAAATGAAAGTCCCTTCAAAATAATTCCTCTGTTTACAACTTTGACTTTTCCATATGGCCTTTAGTTTCTTTATCTGTAAAATAAGTGATTAGATCATTACTATTCAAGTCTACTACATCTTTTGCAGCCTTTTAAACTTGACACAAGCACTGTATGCTAAGTGCTATTATAAATTAATATTATGAAAACTCAGTAAGAAATTACACTTGAAATAAGGCTGGGCGTGGTGGCTAACGCCTGTAATCCCAGCACTTTGGGAGGCTGAAGCAGGCAGAGCATGAAGTCGTGAGATAGAGACAAGCCTGGCTAATATGGTGAAACCCTATCTTTACTGAAAACACAAAAAATTATCCAGGTGTGGTGGTGGGCACCTGTAGTCCCAGCTGCTCGGGAGGCTGAAGCAGGAGAATGACATGAACCTGGGAGGCAGAGTTTGTAGTAAGCCAAGATGACTCCACTGCACTCCAGCCTGGGCAACAGAACAAGACTCCGTCTCAAAAAAAAAAAATTGCATTTGACATAATAATATATTTATTTAATCATATTTGATAATGTTACTCAAATATTTCAAGTAAAAAGATAATGTAAAGATAAATTTAATAAGAATACATAATTTTTAAAAAAAATACATGTGAAGACTTTTAATTACACCATTTGACCTCATATGTTGCTGGCCTGCAGCTAGGGGGACGTTACTCGATTTGAATTTCATGTTAAAACGAGTCAGTAATTTTTGTTTGCTGTAATTTATGAGTGAGGGACGATTTTATTTTTAGAGGCAAATGGAAAAATAGCATCTGATTAGACAGAATCCAGGCAAAACAAACAAACAAACAAAAAACAGGTTGTAATGTGTAAAACAAGAAAATCTACAAAATTTTTTTCTCTTTCTCTTCTATTTCCTTCTATTGCTGTATGAACAAAGGGAATCAGGGGATCTTGGAGCAGAGGAGCAAACGGGAAAGGCCCAGATATTTAGGTTGATGAGAATATGCATAATGCTAAAATTACAATGTATAAGTAAACATAGAAAATATCCATTATTAGCATAATGGTTGCGATAAGTACTTAAAATAAGTATTCATAATGCAGAGACTTTTTCAGCATCTGAACTAAATACAATATATTGTATTTCATGATAATCTGAAACCAGAGGGTCAGTCCAAAATAACTCTAGTGTCAGTGTAGGAATTAATAGTAATAAATATGCAATCCATGTTTAAGTATATGAATTAGGTCTGATTAAAGCTAATAGAGGAGAAAAAGTGAGGAAAAATATTCAATTCTACTTATTTACTAAAGAGTGATCTTGCTAAATAAGATTTATCTGCTTAACTTCTAACATTGCTTAAGTTCAATTGTTTGTAACTTTGCTTAAGTTCAATTGTTTAATTAAAATATTAATTTTTAAATAAGAAAGATAGGGGTAATTAGTATCTTGTATTTTAGACACATCTCTAACCCCTAATTTTTGCTATCCACATAGTGTGATGGTGACCACTGACAATAGTAAACAAATTTATTTATTCAGTCATTAAATAAATTGTATTGAATCAACAAAAATGTATTATTTATCTAAATGTTTTCAGAGTTGAATTTTGAAGCATAAATAAACAATACATATTTATTAGCATGCATGGTATTCTGCTAGTCATTATGACTGTATCTGCCTATGTGACAGCTTACAATTTACCAGACTCATGGTATTATGGGCTGAATTCCCAAGCCCTCTACCCATTCATATTAAAGTCCTAACACCATTACATCATTACTGTATTTTGAAATAAGGACTTTAGAAAGGTAATTATGTTAAACTAAAGTTGTTGATTATGGCCTTATTCCAATCTCACTGGTGTCTTATGAGAGGAGGACATTTTGACACACAAGGGTACACCAGGAATGCATTAGCACAGAGATAAGATCATGGAAACACACAAAGGGTGGGCTGCCATCTGCAAGCCAAGGACAGAGGTCTCAGAAAAAAATCAAAGCTGTTGACATCTTGACTTAGACTTCCAGCCTCCAGAACTTTGAAACAATAAATTTCTGTTTTTTGTTTTTTTTTTTTAATAACGTCACCAAGTGTCAGCAAGTGTGTGATATTTTGCTATGGCAATAACCTGCGTAGGTCAAGGGCTGAAACAATCTAAAGGAATTTCTTCAAACATCTTTCCATTTACAACATTATATTACTGGGGCTTTCAGCTCTAGGGAATGACTGAGTGAGTTTTTGTTTCAGATCTTTGGTGTCCTTACACTATAATAATATGCTATCAAGGAAGGCATTTCCACTGGCTTTTCTCTACTCTGCCTTCTGGACTTCAGTTTTGTTTCCAATAGTTTGATTTTCCAGGCACTACATATGGTCTCTGTGGGCAGCCAAAGCAGTGGGGGTAACAGCTGAGAACTAAGGTTGCTCAACTTCATTCAGACCATCTCAGTGAGCTAGCCATCCACCAGCTGCTATGGACAGAACAAGCTGAGTTGACCCAGCACTGGTGACATCCTGACAGTGAGACCTCTTGAGGTTTTGATGGCAGGCACCTTACTCTCTTCACTTTAGTTCCAGCCCTGTTGATGCCACACCCCTTACAAGCATTTCTTGACATTCCTTCAGAGCATTTAAAGTTTTGTTGCAGGGACACAGGTGATAGTTACAGGAGATTAGAAAAATGTGTTAGCTTTGAAAATAAGTGCTAAATGAATGACCTAAGTGAGCTCTTCATGAGTTAGGACATAGATTGCTTTGCCGCAATGCTATCAAAATAACTTCAGAGAGAATGGGTAGCTTGGGTGATGTAGAAGATTTTTGCAATGCTTGGAAGCTGTTATCTCCAAATCAAACAATGTAAAAAGATGGAATGTAAGTATTACCATATAATCATTTAGAAACTTCAGAGAAAACATAAGTTAGAAGTTTGGCTATGCCAGTTACCAACTGTGTAGCATAGAGCAAATTACAAAGCCTCTGAACTATTTCCTCATATGGTTGTTTAGATGACTAGAAATAACCTATGTTAAATGACTGACTTTGTGCCAGGCAAATGGCCTGGACTCACTAAATGGTTGTACAGTTATTGACATGGTTTCATGATTAATGCCAATCTAACCACAATCATCTTGGCAGTCTTTATTTTAGCACTCCCATGAGTGAAAGACTTCAGAAATCAAAATAGACCTCAGCAATGATTTAGTCGAGTCTCCTCATTTTCTGGAGAAAAAGAATGCCCAGAGATATTAAATGACTTGGCCTAGGATACAGAGCCAGTTGGCAGCAGAGACAGCATCAGCCACAAAACATAATTTTTTACTCTGGATCAGAATGCTTTTCATTTTACATTCCTTTGTTGAAAGCAGTTCACATATCTTAAGTATGTATTTTTAAAACTGTACCAATTACATATGAAGGGTGAATGAACTGAAATAGATGGAAGGACATTAAATCTAAGTGTTGTGGTAGTGCTACAGATTTACACATAGAACAACTGTGATGTAGCAGTACTTGAAAGTTTTGGTTGTGTCTTATCAACCTAATCTTCCTCACAAGCCCTGACCCTGACAAAATTATGGTGGTGGTTTTAAGTGGCTAATTAATGGTATCTAACACTATTGTGTAATTTTTTTTTCAGGTAAGAGCTTTGTTTCACAGGGTGCCACTTATAAGTCCCAAAGTAGCAAATGAGAATGTGAGGAGGGGCACAAGTGGAACACTTGCCCTTGCAAAATGGAAAAGAGATGGGGACTCCTGGCGTGACCTTTGGGTCCCTGGTTGCACCCAGATCTTCACTGTAGGATTTCTGGATCATTCTGAGATTCTCGTGCTCTGTTCTGAGTGACAGCATAAATTTTTGACTTGTGTTGGATAATTCAGGAGTTAGCTGTGCTCTTCTTTTATTTTCAAAAATTTAAAATAAATGAATAAACCCTCTATTAGATGCCCACCTATTCTGTTTATGTGGTGGCTTCAGCACCATGACTACCTTATCTCTTGTCAGGGTAGCCCTGGGAATGCTTCCTAGCACTGCACTGAGTTCTCTTCCATCTCTTCCAGGACACACGTGAGCACATCAGAGTCCTATCCTTGGTCACCTACATAAGGACATCTCAGAAACTTCTCTCAGTATTCTCTCTCTGCTTAACAATGCCATGCCTTCATTTTACTCTTTCAGTGCATGGGTGACCTGTGCTGCCACAAACACCACATGATGAAGTTCTTTTACAGAGATCAAATCACAAGGGGGCAAAACTTTCCTTTAACTCCACATCTCTGACTCTGGGATTTCAGAAGGGTAGGAAAAACCTATGCCCCTTATGGTTTACTATTTTTCTTTTTTCCTTTCTTTTTGTGTGTTTTGCTCTCGTTGCCCAGGCTGGAGTCCAATAGGGCAATCTCGGCTCACCGCAACCTCTGCTTCCTGGTTTCAAGCAATTCTCCTGCCTCAGTCTCTGGAGTTATCTGGGATTACAGGCATGCACCCAACACCTGGCTAATTTTGTATTTTTAGTAGAGATGGGGTTTCTCCATGTTGGACAGTCTGGTCTTGAACTCCCAACGTGACGTGCTCCACCCACCTCAGCCTCACAATGTGCTGGGATTACAGGCATGAGCCACTGCACCTGGCCTACTTTTTGCTTTCTTCTCCACTGTCTTTTCCTTCTTCCAAGATATCATGTGTCCATAAAAATTTGCATTACATTCCTTCTCTGTCTACACAAAATTCCTCTTTGGTTATTATATTTTGTGCCTTCTCTGCACTTTTGCTAATGTTAAATATCTATAATTTGTGTTAGATAGGCTAGGATCTTCATAGTACAACCTCAGGCTTCTAGAAACTAATGTTTAATTAGGGCAAATAATATATTGATTAACAAGCCCACAAATATTTTTTTCTCATAAAATACTTACTTTTATGTAGACCTAAACGGGGCTATGTAAAAAATTTCTTGAAACTATTCAAAAATGTTTCCTTTTCACTGAGAATAAAATACAAACTTCCTACCCAAACTTGAAGGGTCTGGCTTCCCCTCCTCTTCTATCTTACAATGTCAACTTATGCCCTTTCCCCCAGGTTCATTGTTATCTAAAACACATATGAAATCAATGCCCCTCCCTTTAGGGTCTTTTTTTCTCATTCTATTTTTCTGAATCTTTGCACACCCAGTTTTTTCCTCATCCTTTAGGTCTAGGCTGTAGTCACCCCCAATGAGGAATTTCCTAACCTTCTTGTTGAAAGATTTTTGAAATGACCTTCCATTCTCTCAAGCAAATTATTGCTCACTCAGCACCTTGCTTATTTTTCTAACAGTGCTTAAGACAATCTGAAATTATTTTGTTCGTTAATGTACTTGTTCATTGTTTTCTGGTAATATAGAAAATACAGGGATCAAAGGTTATTCTTACTTGTTCATCATTTTATGCCTAGAACTATTAAGATATAGTGCCTTAATAACTGGTGCTCAATAAATAACTAATGAATAAATAGTCTAGTGAATGAAAATATGTGGATCTACTAGGAGTTTTCATGATGTGCACATTTTTTTGTCCCCAAACTATTTATACTTTTGAGAATACTGTTAAGACTATAATTGTAAGAATTAAAGAGGAAAGAAACACAAAGGGTGGCTTGAGTGTTAACAAGGAGAGATTTATTTTAGAAAACAAATGTGATAGGGGCTTCTGGCCAAGTTGAGACAGAGCCACACTCTCTTATAGATTAAGAATTTTTAAGGATTCATGGCAGGAGAATTTATCAGAGGCTTCAACTGCTTCTATGTCTCTTTGTTGTGCTTTTCTGGGAGGGAGGGTTGT
Source organism: Homo sapiens (assembly GCF_000001405.40). Classification (NCBI taxonomy): domain Eukaryota; kingdom Metazoa; phylum Chordata; class Mammalia; order Primates; family Hominidae; genus Homo; species Homo sapiens. The sequence goes on from NC_000024.10 coordinate 8,173,461, forward strand.
GTGTCTGCTTCCATACATCTTTCTGCAGCTGCAGACATACCGCTTGAGACTGCTTTTAGCCTCCCTGTCTTAGTGCACCTGAAGGGAAAGCAATGTGCTTATAAAAGCCCACTGTTTTACTGGTGTCTGGTGTGTGAGGGTGAAGTCTGATAGTGACTCAAGAGACTTTCCCCTACCTCCCTCTCTGCCCCAGCTGTCTTATCTGTGTTTATCTGTCTGCTCTTTCTGACTGCTTATTGTTAGAAGACAAGTGATTTATTTGAAATGCATGAGGTTAGAGAGGAAACTGGATCTTCAGTTGTTGGTGTTTGCCCAAGATGATGGTGCCCTTGCTCTGTCATTCGAGATCCTTTGCTTGCAAAAGAATGAGGGGCAACCAGTTCTTTCTGGTTACTTCCTGCTAATCAGGGGGTGGGGTGGAGAGGGTTTTTTGATCTTGGATTGATTACAGAAGCAACACCATCTGTAGATATTTTAGGGTAGTTGTCTGCGAAATGGCCTTGATTCTGTCAGTTAAAAATTTTTGGAAAAGGTTATCAAGGCAGGGTAAGAACATTAGTCCTAGGCTTTTCAGCAGTGTTTCTTATTAGGCCTGATTCATTGAGACAGAATCAACATTTCTTTCCCAATGGCAGGCAGAGGCACATGTTTGGAAAGACTGTTGTGTTATTGTTTTATTAGTAACTGTTATATCTGCTATGATGATATTAAGTAAACAAAATGCTACAGTAATTTAGATTCTTTGTTCGATATTTCACCCTTAGGGTGCCACAGAATATAGTCCCACTGCAAATAGGAGAGTGAAGAAAGCAGTTCCCATAAGGTTGGCTTAGTAAATACGTTCAATTAAAAAACAACAACACCAAAAAGTTTTAATATCTGGCTTAAAGGACACATATGAATGACAAAAAGTATTTGGTAAAGTAGGGTTGAGACTAAGATGAGTAATTTTGACTTAATTATATTTTATGATTTTTGGCTTAAGATTTCTTATTTTTTTACTTTCATATTTAGGATGTTTTTAATGGGCTGCTAGGGGTTGCTTTCTCAGCTCTTTAGGTTTTGGCTTGAGTATGTAGTATCTAGGAGTTGATTTCTGTAATGCAAATAATTTAAACTGTAGAATATAGTAAAAATTGAAAAATGATTTGGCAGATTAGAATATAGCAACAGGTTCGCTATAGTTTTTGAAACATATTTTTCTCTCTTCAATTTCCCATTTTTTATTAAAAGAGAAATCATGGTAGGACAGTTTGCCTTTACTGTACTTGGCTTAATTAGTTTAATTACATGTTATAATGGTATTTTTTTAGTAACTTTTAACTTTAATATAAAGCCTATACAGTGCAGCAAGAGTAATTATTTGCTACACAGGCCTTTTAAGTCAGCTTTGATGGAAATTTGCATAATAGAAGGAATTTCAGATATGACTTCTTAAAGCCAAGCCCAGACATTGATTTGTACCATTAAATACCTATGAGTTGGGTGAATCCCTCTCCTCTTGAGGTTTTAAGATAACTTGCATTTCCTGGCCTGTCAGAAAATGACATTCTTTACTTACCACAAATCAGAAACCCTGTACAGGGACTGTGTACACAAGATATGAGGCTAGTTTTCCAAGGGCTTTCTTGGCTTCATAAGTTAAGTTTGATTCCTTAAAGGAGACCATACCATTCCTGTCAAAGCCTTGGTAAAATAACCAGTTTTTCCAATTGTGTTTTGCTACAAAAGAAAATAGATTATTATTGAACTTATGCAAACAACTATATTGTTGTTGTTGTTGTTGTTGTTTATTATTATACTTTAAGTTTTAGGGTACATGTGCACAATGTGCAGATTAGTTACATATGTATACATGTGCCATGCTGGTGCGCTGCACCCAGTAACTCATCATCTAGCATTAGGTATATCTCCCAGTGCTATCCCTCCCCCCTCCCCCCACCCCACAACAGTCCCCAGAGTGTGATGTTCCCCTTCCTGTGTCCATGTGTTCTCCTTGTTCAGTTCCCACCTAAGAGTGAGAATATGCGGTGTTTGGTTTTTTGTTCTTGCGATAGTTTACTGAGAATGATGATTTCCAATTTCATCCATGTCCCTACAAAGGACATGAATTCATCATTTTTAATGGCTGCATAGTATTCCATGGTGTATATGTGCCACATTTTCTTAATCCAGTCTATCATTGTTGGACATTTGGGTTGGTTCCAAGTCTTTGCTATTGTGAATAATGCTGCAATAAACATATGTGTGCATGTGTCTTTATAGCAGCATGATTTATAGTCCTTTGGGTATATACCCAGTAATGGGATGGCTGGGTCAAATGGTATTTCTAGTTCTAGATCCCTGAGGAATTGCCACACTGACTTCCACAATGGTTGAACTAGTTTACAGTCCCACGAACAGTGTAAAAGTGTTCCTATTTCTCCACATCCTCTCCAGCACCTGTTGTTTCCCCATCAAGCTACCAATGGCTTTCTTCACAGAATTGGAAAGAACTACTTTAAAGTTCATATGGAACCAAAAAAGAGCCCGCATTGCCAAGTCAATCATAAGCCAAAAGAACAAAGCTGGAGGCATCACACTACCTGACTTCAAACTATACTACAAGGCTACAGTAACCAAAACAGCATGGTACTGGTACCAAAACAGAGATATAGACCAATGGAACAGAACAGAGCCCTCAGAAATAACGCCGCATGTCTAACAACTATCTGATCTTTGACAAACCTGAGAAAAACAAGCAATGGGGAAAGGATTCCCTATTCAGTAAATGGTGCTGGGAAAACTGGCTAGCCATATGTAGAAAGCTGAAACTGGATCCCTTCCTTACACCTTATACAAAAATCAATTCAAGATGGATTAAAGACTTAAATGTTAGACCTAAAACCATAAAAACCCTAGAAGAAAACCTAGGCATTACCATTCAGGACATAGGCATGGGCAAGGACTTTATGTCTAAAACACCAAAAACAATGGCAACAAAAGACAAAATTGACAAGTGGGATCTAATTAAACTAAAGAGCTTCTGCACAGCAAAAGAAACTACCATCAGAGTGAACAGGCAACCTACATAATGGGAGAAAATTTTTGCAACCTACTCATCTGACAAAGGGCTAATATCCAGAATCTACAATGAACTCAAACAAATTTACAAGAAAAAAACAAACAACCCCATCAAAAAGTGGGTGAAGGACATGAACAGACACTTCTCAAAAGAAGACATTTATGCAGCCAAACAAAAAACACATGAAAAAATGCAAACAACTATATTGTTGTAGTTTAAGCACACTTATAACTAGTTTTCAAATTCTAGAGGAACTAGGAAGAGAGAAACAAACACACTTTAATTTCCATTTACAGCAGTGTACTTTACTTAGTTGTTAAAGGCTGTAGCTAGCTTAAGACAAATTTTGTTGACTCTGAAACATAAGGTAAAGATTAGCAGTGTTGTAAGCAAAAGGTTTAAACCTTGTTTTTGTTTTTTGTAATTTAGTCCATTTTGTTTTGGTTGATATTTATAACCATTTTAGCTTTTCATGTATTCTGTAGTTTTGTTCTTGTTGTGTGAGAAATCCTCCTATGAGAGCAATTGTTAAATGTTCACAGCTCAGTAATAAACCATCTTTTGAAGAGAATTTAACACAGTAACAACTGTCTGTAAATACCAAAATGTCCAGTTTGGATACAGTTAGAAACACAATTGACAAATAAATTTGGTCATTGTGGTTCAAAATAACCCAGCATAACAACTTTAATTGTGATTAATAGCACATATTTAGACACTAGAACCTTAGACATGGCATCCAGCTTTGGAACATATTTTAATATTATTTCCTAAAACATAACCTATCAGATATTGTTTTTGGCAATTTTATGTACCTAAACATGTTAAATAATCATATTTACATTTTTTTCCTGATGTTCTACCCTTTTAAGTTCAGTTTATATGTTTACACACAGAGTTTTCTTTGCAAGATTAACATTTACAATGTTTTAACAATTGCCTTAAACCATCCACTTTACTTTATTTAATTTTAAGACTTTGTTTTACTCTTAAGCAAAATATATAGTTATGCCTTCTTATAATTTTTAACAAAAAACATTTTTTACTGTTTTTATACACCTTTTACACAAATCCATGTTTAGCAGTTTAATTACATGTTATAATGGTATTTTTTAGTAATTTTTAACTTTAAAGCCTATTAAGTTTGTTTGTTTGTTTGTTTGTTTTTGAGACAGAGTCTTGCTCTCTCTCCAGGCTGGAGTACAATGGCTGGATTTCAGGTCGCTGCAACCTCCACCCCTTGGATACAAGGGATTCTGCTGCCTCAGCCTCCCAAGTAGCTTGGATTACAAATGCCTGCATAAATTAACTGCTAATTCTGGTTATCTTAGGGACATGTTCATTGAAAGAGTATTCTTACTCAGCTTGAATCCTAAATTGTGTTTCTTTATTATCTTGTTAAAGCGATGAATATATTCAATGAAGACAACTTTCCTTTGCCTCTGTAAGCTAGAGCTTCAGCATGAGGAGTAAACATTGACACAGACAGTCAGGTGTATAAGTGAAATAAAATAAAGCATTCTGGAAAGAATGAGACTCCACGTTACAACCACAATATGTGGCACTAAGGCCTGGTTCCTTCTTCTCCCATTATTTTGTCATTTTTTCCCTAATTTTGGGAATCAAAATCACTTTACTCAAATGCTGAATTCATAAATTGAAACAGACACTTGGGTTCCTTTATAAAGGCAAAGTAATAATATTTCTATGTATCTATGTATAGAGTTATACAGTATAATAACTCAAATCTGTGGTTGGATTTGACTGACCCTATATGGATACTAGTCTGAATGACTTACATACAGAAAATGTGCAATATTCTAAATACAAAAATTAAATATAAATTTAAATAGCTTTTGTTTTATAGTATAAATGAAAATAACCTAGATCCAAACTATTCAATTATTAATGCAGAAATTAAAAATGAAAGATGTATTCCAGAGCTTATATGACTGAGGGACATTTTAACTTAAACTGCCCAGTGGCAAAAGTAGTGTATAAACTAATGCTAGTGTATACACTACTAACATGCTAAGTTATGTAACACTTCCTAATCTAATTTTAAAAATGAAAGACTGTTCTTGTTTTTACTGTGAAGCACAATAATACTAAATTTTCCCCATTGGTACGAGTGAATGATTTACATAGTACATCGATATACTTTAATACTACCATTTCTGGCAAGCTGAATTTGATATAAACTTGTTTTGATAAACATGGCTTATGAAACTTGATAATAAGATTATTAATAAAGATGTTGTTTTTATAAACATCAAATGTGAATACCTGTTGTCATGGTTTAAAATGTCAAAGAAAAACCTTTGAACATTAATATAGTGATAATAGAGATGTCCTCTGTTTGGTATTCAATTTAAGACCAATAACAACACCTGGATTGATCCCTTAAGTAATTAGATTTTGAACTGTGCAATACAGTTTAGTATATTTTTGCAAAACAATGTTAGAGCTGGCGAAAATACCTAAGAATTAAGACTTATGCCACAAATAGTGCTGGTATATCTCAGCACAGCCAACTGGGACATCTAGCAAAAGCACACATGCGTAATGATACCCCACAATTTTGCTTCAACAGAAGAATAAAGTAAAATGGCAATATACACAGTATTACTTTGCTTAACATTTTCCTTAAAAATATTTGATTTAAGCACTTTCTTTTCTTAGGACAATTAATTTATTAGAGTTCTTTTTAATAGACATAACATACATAACACATATATAGCCACACAGACAACCAGAACAAGATTCAGTAGTTGTAAGATTTCCATTTGCTAATTTCCAGATTGGATTATTGGCCTCTGGGTGAGGCCCTTTAAGAAAGAGAAGGGCTAGGTAAACAAATTTTGGGGCCTAATAAACAAGCATAGCTGGAAGACAAAGATTTTTGAGAGGTACTATTCACCTTTAATTCCAGGGGTTCCATAAGGAGAAGAGTTATCTTTTTCAAGATGGGATTTGTGACAAGTTTTCTATCTTACTAGAGATTCCTAGGCCACCAGAAGTTATTCTGGGGTCTTTTATGCATGGACTGAGTGGCAAGGCAGAGTGAAGAAAAGTAATTTTGACTGAGAAAGAAAGTTTTTCAGGAAAACAAGATTTATGAAGAAAAAAACATAAAGGCCTTTTGAATATATTTATAGCTTACATATCCAGTTTAATTAAGCTGAGCACTCTTATTTTATTAAGGGTAAGGGTGGATATTAGAATTACGTAAATGTTATGCCAAGTTAAATTAAAGGATTGGGTTATGTACAGGAATTTCCTGTGATAATGAGAGGGATTTTTAGAGAAAAATCCCAGAAGCTGTTCCATTTGCCACAAATTAGACTTGGAGAAGGGGACGTGGATGTGAGGACTGCCTTTAACCCTAGCCACTTCCCAGAGAGAGAGAATGGCAGAGAAGGTTTAACTGGTTGGAGTAGTTTTTGAACAGGGAGAGAAGGAGGAGGGGTGAGGTTGACAGTAGAAGAAAGTCTGAATATGGGGAAATATCTTGTCATTTGCCATTTCTGGTAATAAAATTGTTAAGAACATGTTGCAGTAGAAAATTAAATGCTTTGGCTTTAAGGTCCACCATAAGCCAAGTTTGGCTAGGTTGTGAATATTGCAGTCCAGTTGGGAGGATGTAAGGATGTGAAATTGTTTGGCACCCATGTAGACTGGTAAGAGGAAGCTGATGGTGTCTGCTTTGTTCTAGGTATTCCCAGACAAAAGACAGAGATCCAGAATCGACTTACCAAAAGGGGACCGTCAAGCTGAGAAGGAACTGGTTGCCAAGATTTCCTGTAGCTCAGCCGCATAGTCCCACTGCACCTCCCAGGACCTGGAATGCAGGCCAGATTTTCTCTAGCCTGGAGAGATCCTGGAGCAGGCAGATATCACCAGTCATCTGAATTACTATCTGATGTTGGATGTTCTGGCTCTGGTTGGCAAAGGGCCTCCCACAGTGTAGCCGTTTAAGGAAGAGAGAGACAGAGAGAGAGAGAGAGAGAGAGAGAGGGAGGATGGAGGAAGAGAGGGCAAGGGAGGGTTAGGGAGCAAAATACGCATTGCAGGTGGTCAGAGGTGGATTCCTGAGACCTGAGTGATTTGAGAGCCCACAGGGTAGTAGCCTTGACCTGAGCCTCACAGCCCCTTCAAGTTAGTTGTCCTCACACAAATCACTTGAAAAGTGAAGCAAGAGAAAAGATAGGACAGGTGGCCAGAGACATTTAGGATACAGGAGTTAACTCAGAATGAGTTGCCATTGCCCACTGCCTCCTGGGTTGCAAGACAGCCTCTGCTGCCAGCACCAGTCACAGGTTTTGGCACCAAATGTAAGAGTGGAAGAAGGAGGAGAGAAACCTGAAAGGTGGCTTGACAGTCAGTGCCAAGTTTATTTTAAAGAAAACAAACCAGAGAGGGTTTTCTGACCGAGTTAGTTCAAGGGACAATCTCTTATACACTAAGAGTTTCTAAGGATTCAGGGTGGAAGGTTATATCAGAAGCTTGGACAGGCTATGTGTCTCTTTGTTGTGCTTATCTGGGAGGGAGAGTTGTTTGTCTGTTCCCATACATCTTCCTGCAGCTGCAGGCATACCCCCTGAGAATGCTACCCTGTATCTTCTCTCTCAAGTTTAAAGTTTCACAAGTCTGCAGCGCAGGAGCAATATGCTGCCAGTCTTTTTGCTAAAGTATAACAAGAGTCACCTTTGCTGCAGTTTCCAACAAGTTACTCCTCTCGATCTGAGACCATGTCAGCCTGGTCCTGTTATTCATAGCATTATCAGTATTTTTGTCAAAGGCATTCAACAAGTCTCTAGAAAGTTCCAAACTTTCCCACATTTTCTCTCCTTTTCTGAGCCCTCCAAACTATTCCAATATCTGCATATTACCGAGTTTCAAAGTCATTTCCATATTTTCAGGTATCTTTTCGGCAGCACCCCACTCCTGGTAACAATTTACTGTATTAGTCTGTTCTCAGGCTGCTGATCAAGACCAATGCTCATTGAAAAGTTTAATTAATACATGAGTATACAATAAAAAAAGCCAAAGTTGTTCACTTACCATCTTTAATTGCTCTCCCAGAGGGCATAACTGAGAAGTCATTGTGTAAACTTTCATAATTTTTCTTTGAAAAAACATTGACACATTCATACAAATATGCATGACTACATAAATATATATTTTAAGCAAAAAGCATATCATAGAATACATATTTTTGTTAAACCACAGTTTTTAAGTTAATAATTTTATAAATATGTATATTCTTAAATTATTTTAAAATTAAATTATTAGAATAAGTAATGTAGATATAATAATTATTGAAATAGTCTCTTTTCTTTCACTGCTGAATGGAGAATCAAAGCAAAACCAAAACCTAGGCATGGTTCTGATGAAATTGTGTGAAATTTTAATTTGATATTTGTTTTAAATTCTAGCATTCATCTGTTTGTCATCTAAGTTGACAAATATGAGATGGGAATGGCAAGATACTCATCTAGTTTGTTTCTGATAACCTGTCATGATAACTTTATTTAATTCTGTAGTAAAGATTGCCCTTACAATAGTGGTAGGGATAGTAGCACCAGTGCAATCAATGAGTTGTGCTTCATTAAAATATAATTGTAGTTTTAAATGAGACAGAAGCTAATTTTTCTCTTATATACATTTCTAAGCTGATGTGGTGGCTCTAATCCTCAACATTTTCAGAGACCTACATTCCCTCTGTTTTGTTGTTCTGCTATCTTCAACAGACAACATCTTATGGTGCAGGAAGGCTGTTCTGACTCCTGCAGTCATGACCACATTCTGGCCAGCCAGATGATTTATAAGGAAGATGGAATGACAGCTCCCTCCTTTGAAAGGCATAGCCCAGAAGTTGCACAAACCTTTTCTGATATATTTCAGCAGACAGAAATTTATCACATGGTTATAATCTGACTTCAGGCAAAGCTGGAATATAATGTATTGCTATGTGCAGCTATCTAATAAGCCAAAAATTCTGTTGTATGAAAAAATAAGAATGGATACGGGAGACAAGGGATATCATAGGCAGCCAAAAATTAAGAATAATTCTTAATTCTTATGAAGTGTGTGATTTTATGAAGAACAGTGGTGTCTAAAAGATTCAGGGATTAAAAATGAGCTGAGGAACCTAAGGCTCAATAGTAATTAAATGATTTATGCCCCATGCCAGTTTCACTGTGCTCAGACTTTGGTATTTCAGGTTTTTTGGAGTTTTCTCTTGCTGTATGCTTGGGCTTTGTTCCTGACAAGGGAACTAGGGCTCTCTAGCCTTTTCAGAGTCTTTACACTTTTAAGGAAAAGACTAGCATATCTACCTGACTTGTTTTACTGCAGTAAGAAACTATAAGATTACATCAGATGTTCGTGGAAACTATATCAGGATATTTTTTCTAAGATGAACGCTGTCAAAATCAAATACTTCTGTTCTTTATACTGGAGGTTATCCTTGTCACACTATTTTCACCTCATTTTATGACTGACAAGTCATATTGCTTAACATCCACTGCACTCATCTTTAACTTGAATTGTTATTTCTCTCAGTCCACTGGTTTGCTAAGTCAGCAATGAAACCCGAGGATAGTTTGGCATGCTCTTGATGTGGTTGAGTGATTGCTGGGGACTATAAAGACATGGAAGTTGAACTGTCATTTCTCAGGATTATTACCTTCTCAGGTGGGCAATATGCCCTGATATGAAAACCCAGAGGCATTTTCATCATGACTGATAGTGGTGTACCTAGCTGGTGGGTAGTTACAGGCTTTTAATCTCCATTTCGTCTTCATGAGGTTAATGTTGATTCAGAACAATAAGTGTCAGGTCCATAACACCTTTAAAGTTATGCTTAAATGTGAGTCTGTGACCACTGATGAATGACTACAGTTGTATCATGACTTGCTAAACATACTTGGTTTTTCACAAGCAATAGTTTTTTGAGGTATTCATAGTGGGTGCTAGGAAGATACACACATTAATTCTGTAGAATCTAGCTAAAACTTGTGTTCAGCCCAAGGGATGACATTAACTGAGTCTTGTGATCCAGCTTTGCATCTCATGAGTGCTGAGCAGTTGGTAGGGATGGATGATATTTTCCATACATTAGCATCTGCTGTATATGTGGGGAACCAGCCCCCAATATTTCAATGTAGGTTCTTTTCTATTTTCCCTAAGTATTGGCTGGTCTGAGAAATAAAGGGAAAGAGTACAAAAGAGAGAAATTGTGATGTCCAGGGGAGACATCACATGTTGGCAGGTTCCGTGATACCCCCGAGCCATAAAACAAGCAAGTTTTTCTTAGCAATTTTCAAAAGGGAGGGAGTGTATGAATAGGGTGTGAGTCACAGAGACCACATGCTTCAAGGGCAATAAAAGATCAGAAGGCAGAAAGTCAGGATGATATCGCAAGGTCAGGGCAAAACTGGAATTACTAATGAAGTTCCATGTCCCTCTGTGCATGCATTGTCGTTGATAAACATCTTAACAGGGTTCAAGAGCAGAGAACCAGTCGGACTAGAATTCACCAGGCTGGAATTTCCTAATCCTAGCAAGCCTTGGGGCACTGCAGGAGACTAGGGGGTGTTTCATTCCTTATCTGCAAGTGCATAAGGCAGCCACTCCTAGAGCTGCCATTTTAGAGGCCTGCCCATGGGAATGCATTATTTTCCCAGGGCTGTTAATTATTAATATTCCTTACTGGGGAAATAATTCAATGATACTTCTCTTACCCGTTTCCGGCAGTAAGAGAAGTATGGATCTTTCCTGCCCAGCTCCCAGGCAGTCAGATCCAATGGTTATCTCCCTTGTTCCCTGAAAATTGCTGTTATCCTGTTCTTTTTCAAGGTGCCTAGATTTCATATTGTTCAAACATACATGCTTTAGGAAAAATTTGTGCAGTTAACACAATCATCACATGGTCCTGAGGCAACATACATCCTCAGTTTAGGAAGATTATGGGATTAAGAGATTAAACTAAAGACAGGCATGGGAAATTATAAGAATATTAATTTGGGGAAGTAATAAATGTTCACGAAATCTTCACAATTTACATTCTTCTGCCATGGCTTCAGCAGGTCCATCCGTTTGGGGTCCCTGACTTCCCACAACAGCTGTATGCTCGGGCTTTGTTCCTGACAAGGGAGCTAGGGCTCTCTAGTCTTTTCAGAGATTCTGTGAGATTATATACTTTATTTTTTCTTTGTCTAATCTAATCAAACTAGATTCTTCTATTTGCAGGTAAGAACCCAGAATATATCCAGGACCCTTGGTTAAAAAGCTTAAAGAGAAAGGAAAATTCATTCATTCGTTAAATAATATATTTACTATTATTTATTTATGTTCTCTATCTTGAATAACTAACTCATTTAAAGTGTTTATTGAGCACCAATTGCACACAAACTATTAGTTTTGTGGGAGGAAAAAAATAAATAAATTAGATGGAAATCCCTCCCTCAAGGAATGTTTGTAAAGTTGATTAACCATGCTAGAAAATAGAAAGTGAATGGTGCTGTGGGAGAGATACAGAGGTATGGTAGTATTATGAAGGTTGAATGGAGAGAGGGATGAGGACAGCAGAACAGAATCATTTCTTTCAGAGATGGCATAGGAGATGAGGAAGCAAAAATTTAAAAGATTTACGCAGAAAGATGGTGTGATATGTATTTATTGAGTAGAGAAGGCATGAAGAAGAGAAACTGTATGGACAGTATAAGCAAAAAGTAGAAACAGAATATTTCTTTGGCCAGGTGTGGTGGCTCATGCCTGTAATGGCTCACTTTGGGAGGCTGAGGCCAAACTCCTGAGGCCTCAGGAGTTTGAGACAAGCCTGTGCGATATGGGGAAACCCCATCTCTACTAAAAATAGAAAAATTAGCCAGGCACAGTGGCACATGCCTGAAATCCCAGCTACTCGGGAGGCTGAGGCAGGAAAATTGCTTGAACCTGGGAGGTGGAGGTTGCAGTGAGCTGAGATTACAGCACTGCACTCCAGCCTCCATGAGGGGATCGAGATTCCAACTCAAAAAAAAAATTATGTTCACTAATGAAATGGGCAGTGCGTTGGCTCTCTTGGTGCAAAATATCATAGATGAGGTAAAGAACATGTTTAGGAATATATTCACAATTTCATGAACACAGCTAGTTTCTCTATTCAAATCCCTGGCAGACAGGAGCAAACAGCATGAAATAAAGAAAAGCTCTACGTTTTTAGAAATAGGTACCCAACTAATACACATAAAAATTGTATTTATAAAGCAGAATGCATATTTAATCAATCTAATCATATACAACCTCAGCTAAATTCTTCCCTAAGACATACACATACCTGCTAAGCAAAAGGAATAAGATGTCTCTAGGAAACTGCAGAAGTTAATTAGCTTCAAAAATACTTCAGATTTGCAATTAAAAATAATTTTAAATCCACAGTAGCACCTCATTAGAACACAGAGTATGGTGATGCATTGGATTTTTTATTAAAAATTGTTCTATTTGGTCTTTATCTCAATGTTTGTGTTCAGGTATATAGCTGATTAATAATGTAAAGTGGTTTATTAAGAAATATATTTGCATATTACTGTGAAATCATGGTGTATGAAATGGACTAAATAAAGCCTATAATGCCCAGGAAAATATTGCACACTGCGAAGATAATATAAAGTTCAGTCATTTTATCTATAGCTTTATTGTTAAGTTGTATATGTAGATAGATGGTAGATAGATATCGACACATATATGAATTTTTACAAATTACAGAGTTTACAAATCTAAAACCCATAATTTTTATCTCAAAATAATAAAGATTAAAATGTTAGCAATGTTCATGAATTGGTCAAAATTTTGCATCCTTGCCTTGGATTCTTGCTTATATTCATCAATTTTAATCTAGATCAAGACACTTAAATAAATGAAAATATCATATTAAATGAATTTGTTTATGCACTGCACTTCTTTTCTAATGGTATCACATGAGATAGTGGGATGCATGATTGCCATAGAATTTATGTTACTGTTCCTGTGTTTCCATGCCCAAATTAAAAATAAAATTTTATAACAGAAATACTGAAAATGAAGAATGATGACAAATTGAGCAGTGATTTTAAAAAGACAAAAAATGTTTCAACTTTTTATAAGCAAATTAGATATATATTTTAAGAACTTTATATGAAGTCTTACATGTATCCGAATTATACTCAGGTATAAATAAATCTTAACTTCTTTATTATGTATTCAAGTTACCTGGCATTCCTCCTGAGCATCTCAAACCTCAAGATAGGGAAAAACTGTACTCAGTAAATCAAGTAAATGCATACAATGACTGTGTATTCACAAAAAATTAAAAATAAAGAAAAAGAAATAAAGTTGTTTTAGCACAATGCAATAATAAAAATAGTCACTTAAGCACAGTGCTCAAATGCTCGCTTTACTCATTTCACTTCTCTCTGCCTTTTATTATCCAAGATGGTATCTCATGTATGAGATGGACTTTACTAATAGAACAGGCAAATGAGGAGACGTTGATTGAGAGTGTATTGAATCTATAAATAAATTTAGCAAAATTTTAAATCTCAAAAATGTTGCTTTTAATCTGGAATATGTTATATTTCTCCTATTAATATTTTCTAATTTATCTAAATAACATGTAATTTTGTTAAAACATCTTGTAATTACATTTAAATCTATATATTAGATAATTTGTATAATAACATAAATTCCATATTTTTAGATTTTATTTCTGAAGTTTTCTTTACTGTTATAGAGAAATGAAATGGGAGAAGGCCTCTATTTTTCCCATTTTACTGTAAGTCTGTTGGGTAAAGGACTGGCTCCTCAATCCTTATTGTATCAACAACACTAAACAGGACGTGTATGACGAATACAACTTTGTTGAACCAAAGAAAGAAAATTTTGTAGGACCATATATACATATGTATCCAGAAAACTCACATCTGTATTTTGTGTTTGCTCCTTCTTGTGACTTCTAACAGTAAGTCCTTAGCAACAGCATCCTCTCATCCTAAAATGGAAATGATATGGCCCAAATGCACAATGCTAAATTATTTGATCATAAATTGGGAGTCTTCTCTCTGAATACTAACAATAAGCATTATCTCCAATACTAACGCGTGCACAAAGTGTAATTAGATAACATTTAGAGATTGTTCAAAAGCCAAAACCACAAATAAGGCAACAATTCTAAAAATTTAATTTTCTCAACAAGGTCCTTTTTAAAATTATTATTATATTTAAGTTCTGGGGTACATGTGCAAAACATGCAGGTTAGTTACATAGGTATACACATGCCATGGTGGCTTGCTGCACTCATCAAACCGTCATCTGCATTAGGTAATTTTCCTAATGCTCTCCCTCCCCTATCCCCCACCAACGACATGCTCCAGTGTATAATGTTCCCCTTCCTGTGTCCATGTGTTCTCATTGTTCAACTCCTACTTATGAGTGAGAACATGAGGTGTTTGGTTTTCTCTTCTTGTGTTAGTTTGCAGAGAATGATGGTTTCCAGCTTCATCCATGTCCCTGCAAAGGAGATAAACTCATGATTTTTATGTCTGCATAGTATTCCGACGTGTATATATGCCATATTTTCTTGATGCATTGCAACACTGATGGGCATTTGGGTTGGTTCCAAGTCTTTGCTATTGTGAACAGTGCCATAATAAACATACGTGTGCATGTATCTTACCAGTAGAATGCTTTATAATCTTTGGCTATACAACCAGTAATGGTATTCCTGGGTCCAATGGTATTTCTAGTTCTAGATCCTTGAGGAATCACCACACTATCTTTCACAATGGTTGAACTAATTTGCACTACTACCAACAGTGTAAAAGCATTCTTTTTCTCCACATTATCTCCAGCACCTGGTGTTTCCTGACTTTTTAATGATCACCATTCTAACTGGCATGAGATGGTATCTTATCATAGTTTCAATTTGCATTGCTCTAATCATCAGTGATGATGAGCTTTTCTTCCTGTGTTTGTTGCCTGCCTAAGTGTCTTCTTTTGAGGAGTGTCTGTTCATATACTTCACCCACTTTTTGATAAGATTTTTTTTTCTTGTAAATTTGGTTAAATCATGTAAAATTTTGTAGATCCTGGGTATTAGCTCTTTGTCAGATGGATAGATTGCAAAAAATTTCTCCCATTCTGTAGGTTGCATGTTCAATCTGATAATAGTTTCTTTTACTATGCAGAAGTTATTTTATTTAATTAGATCTCATTTGTCAAATTTGGCTTCTATTGCCATTGGTTTTGGTGTTTTTAGTAATAAAGTCTTTTCCCATGCCTGTGTCCTGAATGGTATTGCCTAGGTTTTCTTCTAGGCTTTTTACGGTTTTTAGGTCTTAGGTTTAAGTCTTTAATCCATCTTGAGTTAATTTTTGTATAAGGTGCAAGGAAGGGGTCCAGTTACAATTTTCTGCCTATGGCTAGCCAGTTTTCCCAACAAAATTTATTAAATAGGGAATCCTCTCCGCATTGCTTTGTTAAGTTTATTGAAGATCAGATATTTGTAGATGTGTGGTGTTATTTCTAAAGCCTCTGATGTGTTGCATTGGTGTGTGTGTGTGTGTATATATATATATATATATATATATGCATCTATGTATAGGTGTATGTGTATATATATGCATATATATTTAGGTGTGTGTATAAATATATATATTTATGTATAGATTCAATAGACTCTCAATATATACATATATCTGTTTTGGTACCAGTACCATGCTGTTTTGGTTACGGTAGCCTTTTAGTTTAGTTTGAATTGAGGTAGTATGATACCTCCAGCTTTGTTCTTTTTGCTTAGGATTGTCATGGCTATGCAGGCTTTTTTTTTGGTTCCCTAGGAAACTTAAAGCAGTTTTCCTAATTCTGTGAAGAAAGTCAACGGTAGCTTGAATGGGAATAGAATGGACTCTAAATTACTTTGTACAGTGTGGCCATTTTCATGATATTATTTCTTTCTATCCATGAATATGGAATTTTTTCCATTTGTGTGTGTCCTCTCTTATTTCCTTGAGTGGTGATTTGTAGTCCTTCTTGAAGAGGTCCTTGACATCCCTTGTATATTGTATTCATAGGGATTTTACTCTTTTGGTAGCAATTGTGAATGAGAGTTCAATCACCATTTGGCTGTCTATCATTGGGGTATAGGAATGCTTGTGATTTTTGCACATTGATTTTGTACTCTGAGACTTTGCTGAAATTGCTTCTCAGCTTAATGAGATTGCATGCTGAAATGGTGGGGTTTTCTAAATATGCAATCATGTTATCTGGAAACAGAGACAATTTGACTTCCTCTCTTCCTATTAGAATACTCTTTATTTCTTTCCCTTGCCTAATTGCCTTTCCCAGAACTTCCACTACTATATTGAATAGGAGTGGTGAGGGGTCATCGTTGTCTTGTGCTGGCTGTCAAAGGGAATGCTTCCAGTTTTTGCCTATTCAGTATGATATTGGTTGTGGGTTTGTGATAAATAGCTCTTATTATTTGGAGATACGCTCCATCAAGACCTATTTTATTGAGAGTTTTTAGCATGAAGGGGTGTTGAATCTGTTGACATAATCATGTGAGTTTTGTCACTGCTTCTGTTTATTTGATGAATTATGTTTATTCATTTCCCCATATTGAACCAGCCTTGCATCCCAGGGATGAAGCTGACTTGATTGTGATAGATAAGGTTTTTGATATGCTGCTGGATTCATTTTGCCAGTATTTGATTGAGGATTTTTGCATCAATATTCATCAGGGATATTGGCCTGAATTTTTGTTGTTGTTGTTGTGTCTCTGCCAGCTTTTGGTATCAGGGTGATGCTGGCCTTATAAAATGAATTAGGGAGTAGTCCTTCTTTTCCTTTTTTTTTTTTTTTGTGATGGAGTTTTGCTCTGTTGGCCAGTCTGGACTGCAATGGCATGCTTTCAGCTCACTACAACCACCACCTCCTGGGTTCAAGTGATTCTCCTCCCTCAGCCTCCAGAGTAACTGGAAATCCAGGTGCACACCACCATATCCAGCTAATTTTGTATTTTTGGTACAGACGGGGTTTTGCCATGTTGGCCAGGAGGGGGCTGGAATTCCTGACCTCAAGTGATCCACCCACCTTGGCCTCCCAAAGTTCTGGGATTACAGGCGTGAGCCACCGTGCCAGCCCGGTACTCTTTATTCAACTGAAAAAAAGAATCGAACTGTTGTACTTTACTCCTGTGAGAAAGTCCAACAAAGAAGAAATCTAATAACATCCAAATTTCCAACTGATCTTAGTAAACACTTTCACATAATCTAAGAAATAGAAAGTGCAAAAAAATTTGTCATGGACATTAAAGTGAGCCAGCTTCCCAGGTACTCGGGAGGCTGAGGCAGGAGAATGGCATGAACTGGGGAAGCAGAACTTGCAATGAGCCAAGATCATTGGAGTGAGACTCCAACAACAACAAAAAAAAGATTTGGCCTCACTGACCTCACTACTTGGAATGAAGTATCTGCCAACCATCAAATGTCAGGACACATGAGATTGAAGGAGAGAAGCAGAAGAGCAGATTGGGAAAGGAAGATTCCTTCTACTTATACAGCTTATGTTGCCATATTTCACAGCATCCATGCACTGTTTTCATTAACCATCAGTGTCTTTGGTCTAATATGCAGCCCAGTCCTGCCATCTGGATGGTTTAGTACACTTCTGCCAATTAAAAAGTCAAGTTTTTTTAATTACAAAAAGGTTTTTGTATTTAAGGTGACTTCCTATATTTTTGTTTGATGAAAAAGTGAGTCACTGTTACTCTTATTTCTATATTCTGGATTTCTACATCAAATTAGTATGCAGTGACCGACTTACTTTCTAAGATATCGTTCAACATTTCATTAGGTAAAATATTTTTCTGAAGGAAGAGTTTATGTGTTTCTTAATGACATATTACTTGACTTAAGATTTGGGCTAGTATCACCATTTATGAGTTTAGGCATTGTATTTTCTTTGAAAGTTTCTAAGCTGCAAAAATTTTAATCTGCCAAGACTTCATTTGATTAACAAATATGACAGATATATGGCAGGCATTTCTGAAGTCAAACACATTGGCTAATGCTTTAAGAATTTAGATATTTAATAATATAATATCCAAATAACATAAATTAAACTTTGGATGTACATCTTACATGAGTGTCTTGCAAAGCCCATATTCATTACCAAAATTGCAATCTAAAATTGTAAGTAGGCACCTCTCATTACATTTCACAGTATGATACTGTATAAGTCAAATGATTACTTATGTTTTAATAAGAGCATTGCCAGTGGAGAAATACAGTGAAATACTACTTTAAAGCTCAACATCAGTATTTTCTTAATGTTACAGATAGGACACAAACAGAGAGGAGCTACTGTCTCTGCTGACAGCTTCAGAGGCCTGCAGAGACCTCTGAATGACTCTGCCACGGAGAAGAGCCACCCTCTCCAGGGCTTCCCCTCTGTTAAGAACTGAACACTCTACCGGACAACCTGCCTACAGAGAGGAGCAAACCATTCCTCTGAGCTCTACTAACACTAAATAATTTTTTTCTTCCTGTTCACCATTCACTTGTCTGTATACTACATTCTACCTTATTCTTTCCTACACAGGACAAGATCTTGGGCAAAGGCATCACAGCCGCAGACATTTCTGGCTAGAAAAAGACTGACACACTAGAGATTGGTAAAAATTAACAGAATTTCTAGTTCTCAAAAAAAAGAAGTTAAGGTAATAGAGAATATATTCATAAGTTTACAAAAACAAAAACTAATAATGGCATCTATTGTTGATGACATTGTAAGTACTAGAAGAAACGTAATTACTACAAGGTTTTTGGAAAGTAATTTGGTATTTAAATACCTATAATTTTATTTAATATTACATAAATTTAGTATTTAAACAATTTCAATACAAAGTACTTACAGCAATTGGCCCAGTTTTCACATTTTGTACCACTTACTAAATACAAATAAAATTACCAGGATTAAAAGATAAATATACCATCATGTTTATTATAGCATTGTTATTAATACTAAAGATTTGGAATGATAGAATTTTCCTCAAAATTGGAAAGATTAAATGGTACATCCATTGAAACCCTGGTATAAATATAATATTGATTATTATGTAGCTACTAATGCAAATAAGATTGATATATGTCTTGCTTTGGAAGAAAATCTAAAATACAGATTTTAGCAAAAGCAAATTGTAGAATATGCATGTATACTATGTGTACATGGACGTATGTATAACGGTTTCAATTTTATAAATGTGAACATAAACTTAGCCAATGTTTTATATGCAAAATCCATGAAAATTATTGTCAAACTGCTGTTAGTGGTTATATTTGAAATTGGAAGAAGAAAATTATTAACTTATTTTCCACACATCTACTTATTTTTAAATGTTACAATTATTAATTTTTTTGTAAGAGCACTGAAAAACCAACAAGTACTTCTAGTGTTTAATTTTACAGTAAAATGTAACTTGGTTAGTATGCTTACAACAATATTGTGAGTATAAATATATGCTTTTATAAAAAACTGAGTTTCATAAGGTTAAATGACATATATAATGACACATGTCAGAAAGTGCTAGTGCCAAGACTCAAAAGCAATTGTATTTGTGGTTCTGAGTTCATGTACTTTCCATTTATCTCATTATTTCTTGGCTATGTGTTTGTGAATGTTGAATTTTTCAGATGAACACATTTGGGTGACAAATTGGATATACATTCATTCAGTTCATGTTTTTTGATGCGCAGACAAATGAGTAAAAGTCTTATGTATCTCAGAGAATCACAATGATGACAGAAATCATATTGGTTTCAAAACTTTTTTTTTTTTTAAGAAAACCTCGGACCAAGTAGGGATGATTTTTCAGCTTACTGCAGTAAAAAATAAGAACTTTGAGGGTGGAGCCATGATGGCCAAATAGGAACAGCTCCAGTCTAGAGCTCCCAGCGTGAGCAGTGCAGAAAATGGGAGATTTCTGCATTTCCAACTGAGGTACCAGACTCATCTCACTGGAGAGTGTTGGAAAGTGGGTGCAGGACAGTGGGTGCAGCACACTGAGCATGAGCCAGAGCAGGGTAAGACATCACCTCACCTGGGAAGCCTAAAGGGTCAGGGAATTCCCTTTCCTAGTCAAAGAAAGGGGTGACAGATGGCATCTGGAAAATCGGGTCACTCCCACCCTAATACTGCACTTTTCCAATGGTCTTAGCAAATGGCACACCAGGATATTATATCCTGTGCCTGGCTCGGAGGGTCCTATGTAGGCCCATGGAGCCTCACTCATTGCTAGTACAGCAGTCTGAGATCAAACTGCAAGGCAGCAGTGAGGCCGGGCGAGGGACACCTGCCATTGCGAGGCTTGAATAGGTAAACAAAGTGGCCAGGAAGCTCAAACTGGGTGGAGCCCATCGTAGCTCAAGGAGGCCTGCCTGCCTCTGTAGACTCCACCTCTGGGGGCAGGGAATAGCCAAACAAAAGGCAGCAGAATCCTCTGCAGGCTTAAAAGTCCCCGTATGACAGCTTTGAAGAGAGTAGTGGTTCTCCCAGCACACAGCTGGAGATCTGATAACAGACAGACTGCCTTCTTAAGTGGGTCCCTGACCCCCGTGTAGCCTAACTGGGGGGCACCTCCCCATCAGGGGCAGACTGACACCTCACACAGTCAGGTACTCCTCTGAGACAAAACTTACAGAGGAATGACAAGGGAGCAACATTTGCTGCTCACCAGTATCCGCTGTTCTGCAGCCTCTGCTGCTGATACCCAGGCAAACAGGGTCTGGCATAGACCTCCAGCAAATGCCAACAGCCCTGCAGCTGAGGGACCTGTTAGAAGGAAAACTAACAAACAGAAAGGACATCCACACGAAAACCTCATCTGTATGTCACCATCATCAAAGACCAACGGTAGATAAAACGACAAAGATGTGAAAAAAACAGAGCAGAAAATCTGGAAACTCTAAAAATCAGAGTGCCTCTCCTCCTCCAAAGGAACACAGCTCCTCACCAGCAATGTAACAAAGCTGGACGGAGAATGACTTTGATGAGTTGAGAGAAGAAGGCTTCAGATGATCAAACTACTCCGAGCTAAAGGAGGACGTTCGAACCCATGGCAAAAAAGTTAAAAACCTTGAAAAAAAATTAGATGAATGGCTAATTAGAATAACGAATGCAGAGAAGTCCTTAAAGGACCTGATGGAGCTGAAAACCGTGGCACGAGAACTATGTGATGAATGCACAAGCCTCAGTAGACGATTCGATCCACTAGAAGAAAGGATGTCAGTGATGGAAGATCAAATGAATGAAATGAAACGAGAAAAGAAGTTTACAGAAAAAATAATAAAAAGAAATGAACAAAACCTCAAAGAAATATAGGACTATTTGAAAAGACCAAATCTACGTCTGATTGGTGTACCTGAAGGTGACCAGGAGAATGGAACCAAGTTGGGAGACGTTCTTCAGGATATTATCCAGGAGAACTCCCCCAATCTAGCAAAGCAGGCCAACACTGAAATTCAGGAAATACAGAGAATGCCACAAAGATAATCCTCGAGAAGAGCAACTCCAAGACACATAATTGTCAGATTCATAAAAGTTAAAATGAAGGAAAAAATGTTAAGGACAGCCAGAGAGAAAGGTCGGGTTACCCTCAAAGGGAGGCCCATCAGACTAACAGCGGATCTCTTGGCAGAAACTCTACAAGCCAGAAGAGAGTGGGGGCCAATATTCAACATTCTTAAAGAAAACAATTTTCAACCCAGAATTTCATATCCAGCCAAACTAAGCTTCATAAGTGAAGGAGAAATAAAATACTTTACAGACAAGCAAATGCTGAGAGATTTTGTCACCACCAGGCCTGCCCTAGAAGAGCTCCTGAGGGAAACACTAAACATGGAAAGGAACAACCGGTACCAGCCACTGCAAAATCATGCCAAAATGTAAAGATCATTGAGACCAGGAAGAAACTGCATCAACTAATGAGCAAAATTACCAGCTAACATCATAATGACAGATCAAATTCACACATAACAATATTAACATTAAGTGTATATGGGCTAAATGCTCCAGTTAAAAGACACAGACTGGCAAATTGGATAAAGAGTCAAGAACCATCAGTGTGCTGTATTCAGGAAACCCATCTCATGTGCAGAGACACACATAGGCTCAAAATAAAGGGATGGAGGAAGATCTACCAAGCAAATGGAAAACAAAAAAAAAGGCAGGGGTTGCAATCCTACTCTCTGATAAAACAGACTTTAAACCAACAAAGATCAAAAGAGACAAGGTCATTACATAATGGTAAAGGGATCAATTCAACAAGAAGAGCTAACTATCCTAAATATATATGCACCCAATACAGGAACACCCAGATGCATAAAGCAAGTCCTTAGAGACTTACAAAGAGACTTCAACTCCCACACAATAATAATGGGAGATTTTAACACCCCACTGTCAACATTAGACAGATCGATGAGACAGAAAATTAACAAGGATATCCAGGAATTGAACTCAGCTGTGCATCAAGCAGAGCTAACAGACATCTATAGAATGATCCACCACAAATAAACAGAATATACATATCTTCTCAGCACCACACCACATTTATTCCGAAATTGACCACATATTTGGAAGTAAAGCACTCCTCAGCAAATGTAAAGGAACAGAATTTATAACAAACTGACTCTGAGACCACAGTGCTGACAAACTAGAACTCAGCATTAAGAAATATTCAGAACCGCTCAACTACATGGAAACTGAACAACCTGCTCCTGAATGACTACGGGGTACATAATGAAATGAAGGCAGAAATAAAGATGTTGTTTGAAACCAAGGAGAACAAAGACACAACATACCAGAATCTCTGGGATATATTCAAAGCAGTGTGTAGAGGGAAATTTAGAGCACTAAATGTCCACAAGAGAAAGGAGGAAAGATCTAAAATTGACACCCCAACGTCACAATTAAAAGAATTAGAGAAGGAAGAGCAAACACATTCAAAAGCTAGCAGAAGGCAAGAACTAACTAAGATCAGAGCAGAACTGAAGGAAATAGAGACACAAAAAAAACTCTTCAAAAAATCAATGAATCCAGGAGCTGGTTTTTTGAAAAGATCAGCAAAATTGCTAGACTGCTAGCAAGACTAATAAAGAAAAGAGAGAAGAATCCAATAGACACGATAAAAACTGATAAGGGGATATCACCACCAATCCCCCAGAAATACAAACTACCATCACAGAATAATATAAACACCTCTACACAAATAAACTAGAAAATCTAGAAGAAATGGATAAATTCTTCGACACATACACCCTCCCAATAATTAAACCAGGAGGAAGTTGAATCTCTGAATAGACCAAAGACCAGTTCTGAAATTAAGGCAACGTTAATAGCTTACCAAACAAAAAAAGTCCAGGACCAGATGGATTCACAGCCAAATTCTACCAGAAGTAAAGGGAGGAGCTGGTACCATTCCTTTTGAAATTATTCCAATCAATAAAAAAAGAGAGAATTCTCCCTAACTCATTTTAGGAGGCCACCATTATCCTCATACCAAAGCCTGGCAGAGACACAACAAAAAATAATTTTAGACCACTATCCCTGATGAACATTGATGGAAAAATCCTCAATAAAGTACTGGCAAACTGAATCCAGCAGCACATCAGAAGTCGTATCGAACTTGAACAAGTGGGCTTCGTCCCTGAGATGCAAGGTTGGTTCAACATAGGCAAATCAATAAACATAATGCAGCATATAAATAGAACCAATGACTAAAACGATATGATCATCTCAATAGATGCAGAAAAGGCCTTTGACAAAATTCAACACAACTTCATGCTAAAAACTCTTAATAAATTAGGTATTGATGGGATGTATCTCAAAATAATAAGAGCTAGCTATGGCACACCCACAGCCAATATTATACTGAATGGGCAAAAACTGCAAGCATTCCCTTTGAAAACTGGCACAAGACAGGGATGCCCTCTCTCACCACTCCTGTTTAACATAGTGTTGGAAGTTCTGGCCAGGGCAATCAGGCAGGAGAAAGAAATAAAGGTATTCAATTAGGAAAAGAGGAAGTCAAATTGTCCCTGTTTGCAGATGACATGATTGTGTATCTAGAAAACCCCATCGTCTCAGCCCAAAATCTCCTTAAGCTCATAGGCAAATTCAGCAAAGTCTCAGGATACAAAATCAATGTGCAAAAATCAGAAGCATTCTTATGCACCAATAACAGACAAACAGAGAGCCAAATCATGAGTAAACTCCCATTCACAATTGCTTCAAAGAGAATAAAATACCTAGGAATGCAACTTACAAGGGACTTGAAAGATCTCTTCAAGGAGAACTACAAACCACTGCTCAATGAAATAAAAGAGGATACAAAGAAATGTAAGAACATTCCATGCTCATTGGTTGGAAGAATCAATATCATGAAAATGGCCATATTGCCCAAGGTAATTTACAGATTCAATGCCATCCCCATCAAGCTACCAATGACTTTCTTCATAGAATTGGAAAAAACTACATTAAAGTTCATATGGAACCAAAAAAAGAGCCACATTGCCAAGTCAATACTAAGCCAAAAAAACATAGCTGGAGGCATCACTCTACCTGACTTCAAACTATACTACAAAGCTGCAGTAACCAAAACAGCATGGTACTGGTACCGAAACAGAGATATAGAAGACTGGAACAGAACACAGCCCTCAGAAATAATGCTGCATATATGCAACCATCTGATCTTTGACAAATCTGACAAAAACAAGCAATGGGGAAAGGATTCCCTATTTAATAAATGGTGTGGGGAAAACTGGCTAGCCATATATGGAAAGCTGAAACTGGATCCCTTCCTTACACCTTATAAAAAAATTAATTCAAGATGGATTAAAGACTTAAATGTTAGACCTGAAACCATAAAGACCCTAGAAGAAAACCTAGGCAATACCATTCAGGATATAGGCATGGACAAGGACTTCATGTATAAAGCACCAAAAGCAATGACAACAAAAGCCAAAATTGACAAATGGGATCTAATTAAACTAAAGAGCTTCTGCACAGCAAAAGAAACTACCATCAGAGAATGGGAGAAAATTTTTGCAGTTTACTCTTCTGACAAAGGGCTAATAACCAGAATCTACAATGAACTCAATCAAATTTACAAGAAAAAAACAAACAACCCCATCAAAAAGTGGGCGAAGGATATGAACAGACACTTCTCAAAAGACATTTATGCAGGCAACAGACACATGAAAAAATGCTTATCATCACTGGCCATCAGAGAAATGAAAATCAAAACCACAATGAGATACCATCTCACACCAGTTAGAAAGGCGATTATTAAAATGTCAGGAAACAACAGGTGCTGGAGAGGATGTGGAGAATTAGGAACACGTTTACACTGTTGGTGGGACAGTAAACTAGTTCAACCATTGTGGAAGTTGGTGTGGTGATTCTTCAGGGATCTAGCACTAGAAATACCTTTTGACCCAGCTATCCCATTACTGGGTATATACCCGAAGGACTATAAATCATGCTGCTATAAGGACACATGCACACGTATGTTTATTGTGGCACTATTCACAATAGCAAAGACTTGGAACGAACCCAAATGTCCAACAGTGATAGACTGGATTAAGGAAATGTGACACATATACACCATGAAATACTATGCAGCCATAAAAAATGATGAGTTCATGTCCTTTGTAGGGACATGGATGAAACTGGAAGCCATCATTCTCAGCAAACTATTGAAAGGACAAAAAACCAAACACCGCATGTTGTCACTCATAGGTGGGAATTGAACAATAAGAACACATGAACACGGGAAGGGGAACATCACACACCAGGGCCTGTTGTGGGGTGGGGGGAGCAGGGAGTGATGGCATTAGGAGATATATCTAATGCTAAATGACGAGTTAATGGGTCCAGTGCACCAACATGGCATATGTATACATATGTAACGAACCTGCACATTGTGCACATGTACCCTAAAACTTAAAGTATAATAATAAGAAGAAATTTAAAAAGTAAGAGCTTTGCATTCAGGCCATTCCAGCTTCAATTTCCAAATGAGTCTTTTATTAACATTTCACTGGTAAATATCCATAAGCCACTATCAACCACTCAAGACAAAACACCAAAGGACTATCCTCAATTTCTTCCTTCCTTAAAACTTTACATCAAATCCAAAATTAAGTTCTGCTAAACTTAGT
This sequence comes from Homo sapiens, assembly GCF_000001405.40. NCBI lineage: Eukaryota > Metazoa > Chordata > Mammalia > Primates > Hominidae > Homo > Homo sapiens. Next base: position 8,199,783 of record NC_000024.10, read on the forward strand.
TTAATATCACTGGACTATGCTCTGCTCTCAATATCCACTGTAAATCCAAGCCACCTTATATTTTGCTTCATCTACTGCAATAGCTTCCCTAAAGTTTAACACCTTCTCACTTTTGCCTTCTCAAATTTATTCTCTATAATATTCCCTTTAAAAAAAATGTACATTATATTAAGTCACTCTTCTTAAGGAATGTTTGTGGAGGATATGTCTCAGAAAGTAACTACTTGATTTACCAGCATGCAAAAGGCCCTCATGATGTGGCTCCTGTCTCACGCTCTAGCCTCATATCTCAGGCCCACCCCTTATTCCAGAGTCAATAATATTTCATTCATGTTGCCCATGTTTTCTAGTTCTGTCTTGGTTCAGAGCTTTCCCCCTCTGCTTTTTCCCATACCATTTTCTGTTAGTCTTCTTAGAGCTGACCCTTTCTTCTTCTTCGGGCCTTAGATTACACTGTATTTTCTCACAGTTCTGGACTTCAGAATTCTGAAGTGGGTTCAGAAAATTATAATCAAAGTGTAGGCAAGGCTGCATTTCTTCTAGAGTCTCTACCAGAGAGTCCATTCACTTTATTTTTTTGTAGTATCTAGAAGCCGTTTTGCCTACCACATTCTTGAACACTCACCTTATTTTCTTCTCCAAGTCTTGCTAAAACCATCCACTTTTTAAATTTCTCAAATATTGAATTATCTCTGCTAATAAAGCCTTTTTGTCTTTCCTTTTAATTCCTTGAACACATTTTAAAGAAGAGTTTTAAGGTCCTTGTGTGTTAATTCCAATATCTGGGTCATGGTAGAGTCTGACTTCTTATTTGTCTCTCCTATGTCAATTTGCTCCTGTTTCTTTATATGCCTAATAACATTTTTCTGTGAACTGCCGTTCCCCTTTAGAGAATGGATTTGTTTTCTTTCTCTGAAGAAGGTTGACATTTCTTCTAGCAGAAATTGTTGGCTAGTCATACTGATGCTGTAGAACCTTTGTCTTATACTTTATTGGGATGAGACTGTTTGGATTTTTTCCTTATTCTTATTGTGAATTCTTTATTCCTGGCTTATAGATTTTCTTCCTAATGTGTAACCTTTCTGCAATTTCAATAGGAAGCGAAAGGTTTTTGTCTACTCTCTAACTTAGTGGGACTCAAACTCTACTACCCTAAGTTCAACTACCAGTAGTTTGAGTTTCCTAACTGAGGTATTGCTCCTTACAAGAGGGCATTAGCTGTGGGGGTCTGCTTGATTTACATGATACTGACATATGGTAGGACTATTTAGCATGCCTTGAGGAAGGACTTTCCAATGAAATCGACAAGCTGGCTTTTCTTTCTTAATAGCTGGTATTGTAAACACAAATTCTTCTCTCTCTCATATTCTGCTGGAGGAATGGTATAGAAGCAACATTTTAAATCAAGAACAACTATAGGCCAATCTCGAGGAATCACTGCTGGGGAGGGGAGTCCCTTTGAAGGGGTCACATGGGCTGTAAATTAGCATTAATAGGATGCAAGTCATACAAAAACCTCCATTTCCCAGGCATTTTGGGAACGAGGAAATAGGTGAATTCCAGGAACTGGTAGAATGTTCAAGATGTCCAGCCTTTAACTGCTCCTCAACTAACTCACGAGTTGTCTGTAATTTCTCTACCTTCAGAGGCCACTGTTCTACCCAGACCAGATATTGAGAGAGTCAAGTCAGAGGTAGTGGAGGAATAACAACAGTGGTCATTGTTAGAAAGGGTTCTGCAGAGTGCCCCCCTCACCACTGGGCTAATAGGTCTCAACCCCAAAGATTAACAGTGATGGGCATGATCAGTGGCTGTATAGCTGCCTTTCTTCCTTCTGAATCACAGCATGTTTGGGGGCACATGCTCTATTTGGCTGTGGGAGCTTCTCTGATGCTGACAATTTTCTGCTTCTGAGTGACCCAAGGCCAAATTTCTGGTCAGTTCTGATCATTAATGATTGAAGTGTCTGCCCCCATGTCCAATAATCCATTAAAATTCTTACTACCAATTTTTAAGGTAATCATGGTCTCTGATCAGTGATTAATTGATTCCAGTATACTCCTGTGCTCCTGTGCTTCCAGAACTTCCCTTTCCCCTTTTGTTGTCATGTGCCTTAGGGACCCAGTAGGTAAAACATTTTTTTTTTTTTTTTTTTGAGAGAGTCTCGCTCTGTCATCCAGGCTGGAGTGCAGTGGTGCAATCTTGGCTCACTGCAAGCTCAGCCTCCGGGTTCATGCCATTCTCCTCCCTCAGCCTCCTGAGTAGCTGGGACTACAGGCGCCCACCACCACGCCCAGCTAATTTTTTGTATTTTTAGTAGAAATGGTGTTTCACCATGTTAGCCAGGATGGTCTCAATCTCCTGACCTCTTGATCCAGCCACGTTGGCCTCCCAAAGTGCTGGGATTACAGGCGTGAGCCACTGTGACCAGCCCCAGTATGGTAAAATGTTTAACTAAGTTATTTTTTATCCAAGGGTAAGAATATGCAGCTTCCATCATAACCAATATCTCACCTTGGTAATCGCTGTCAATTAACCCAGGGAGCACATTAATTCCTTTACTGGATAGGCTAGACTGCCCCAGGACTAATCCTGCTGTTCCTGGAGGCAGCAGGCCACAGATCCCAGTTGCAACCCTTTTAGGGCTTCTCCCTCTTTTAGCACTAATTTGTCCGGGCAGAGTAAATCGAGTCCTGCACTCCCAGTAGAGGCTGCTCTAAGAGAGAGGACTGTGGGCTTTCCAGCTGACTGAGGAAAGCCACTGGCATTGCCCCATATGGGAGCAGGGCCTGGGGCTGCCCCCTCATGAAGTCTCCTGACTGATTTCCTGTGAGGTTGCCATTTTTGTCAAATTTAGACCTGCATCGATTTGCCCAATGTTACCCTTTCCTACAGCTGGAACATATAGAAGAGGGTTCTTTCCCCGAGTTAGCTTGGTTTTCACTATAGGGGCATTGCCTCTTCCCATGACCTTTCACTCCACATAGAAAACAATTTCGGTTTCTCTCCCTTTTCACTTTAGGTGGCCTTAATGTCATAGCTAATATTCTGGCCTTGTTTGTCTCAGTTCCTACCAGGTGACATGCTTATATCAGCTCCCTGCTGGCAATCCACATTAGTGTTTTCAAAAGCCAATTGCAACAATAAGATAGGAGTGGCCTAGGTGTGACTAATTTGCGTTTTAATTGCCTGAGTTAATCGATCCATAAACTCAACAAATGGCTTTTGAGGCCCTTGTCAAACATTTACAAAAGACCCCTGCTGAGCTCAGCTCTTGGGAATTCAGTCCCAAGCTCTGAGAGCACACAAAGACACTTGAGCATAGGCCTGGGGCTCAAAATTTAGTTGTTGTTGTACATCAGCATGAGAATACCTCCCCTGGAGCTTATCAACAGTTGTATTTTGCCTGGCTGCCTGATTCTGGTTGTCTTGTTGTTCGCACAGTTCATCATATTCTACCGTCCAGAGGAGGTATGGGCTAGTCTCCAGAGTTGCTTTAGGCAGCATTGACCAGTCCCATTGGGCCATACAGAAGTGGTCTGCTAAGGCCTCAATCATTCTTTTTGCAGATGGTCTAGTGGCTCTGTTTTCTTTAATGCTTTTTCTTAGTTCTTCGTAAGAGTGAAAGGAAACAGGTTCATGTGCTTGATGACCATGTTGGTCTTGCATTACCAGATATGCTAAAAGCTCCCCTTCTAATGCCGCTTGTTTAAGACAAGGTCCCATAGCTGAAGTATGTTTCTTGCCTTTTTTTCTACTTATAGTAAGAGGGAGGTCAGGAAAACTCTCCATTTCCTCTTTGTTATTTTGGCCCGGTAATAGTAGGACTGAGGGAAAAGGAGGTGATAAGGCAGGCGATATTTCTCCTTCCTTTTTGTTTTTAGGCTCTTCTGTGTATAAAGCCATCCTTAGTAAAGCCCATTGTGTTAAAGCTGATGCTGGGACTTGATGCCCTTGTGCATAATATTGTTTATGATTTCTCCCTACTCATTCCCAGAGTTCTATGTCTAGTGTTCCTTCTTCTGGGAACCATGGATTATATGAGACCACAGTTTATATTAATTTTTGAACCTGTGAAACAAGCTCTGCTAGCCATAAGCAACTGTTTCTATACTTTTATATTCTGTTTCTGCTGTGCTGATAACTGTTGTCCCATAATGAAAACTCAGCTTAAACCAACTTTCCTCAGAAGTTGGTGACCTTGAATGTGGACCAATGACTTACCAATTACTCACTGATTTGACCACGTGGTTCCTTTCTTCACCTTCTTTTTCAGGAGTCCAAGTCTTCGCTATTGTGAATAGTGCCACAATAAACGTAAGTGTGCATGTCTCTTTATTGTATAATTATTTATAATTCTTTGGTATATGCCCAGTAATGGGGTTGCTGAGCCAAATGGTATCTCCAGTTCTACATCCTTGAGGAATCACCACACTGTCTTCCACAATGGTTGAACTAATTTACATGCTCACTGACAGCGTAAAAGCTTCCTATTTTCCCACAAGCTCTCTAGGATTTGTTGTTTCCTGACTTTTTAATGATTGACATTCTGACTGGAGTGAGATGGTATCTCATTGTGCTTTTGATTTGCATTTCTGTAATGTGCAGTGATGAACATTCTTTCATATGTCTATTGGTTGCATAAATGTCTTCTTTTGAGTAGTGTCTGTTCATATCCTTTGCCCATTTTTTTGATGGCGTTATTTTATTCTTGTAAATTTGTTTAAGTTATTTATAGATTCTGGATATTAGCCCTTTGTCAGAAGGATAGATTGCAAAAATTTTCTGCCATTCTGAAGGTTGGCTGTGCACTCTGGCAGTTTCTTTTGCTGTACAGTAACTCTGTAGTTTAATTAGATCTCATTTGTCAATTTTGTATTTTGTTGCCATTGTTTTTGGTGTTTTGGACATGAAGTCTTTGCCCACTCCTATGTCCTGAATAGTACTGCCCAGGTTTTCTTCAAGGATTTTATTAGTCCTAGTGTGTCTGGAAATTATTCCTTCTGGTAGATTCTTGGTCTCCCTGACTTCAAGAATGAAGCCACAGACGCTCGCAGTGAGTGTTGCAGTTCTTAAAGATGATGTGTCCAGAATTTGTTCCTTCAGAGGTTCAAATGTGCCCAGAGTTTCTTCCTTCTGGTAGGTGTGTGGTCTCACTGACTTCAGGAGTGAAGTCGCAGACCTTTGCAATGAGTGTTATAGCTCTTAAAGGTGGCATGTCCAGAGTTGTTTGTTCCTCCTGGTGGGTTTGTGGCATTGCTGACTTCAGGAATAAAGCTGTGGACACTTATGGTGGGTGATACAACTCATAAAGGTAGTGCAGACCCAGAGTGAGCAGCAGCAAGATTTATTGTGAAGAGTAAAAGAACAAAGCTTTCACAGCATGGAGGGGGACCTGAGCGGGTTGCCACTGCTGGGTTGGGTGGCCAGCTTTTATTCCCTTATTTGATCCTGCCCACATACTGCTGATTGATCCATTTTACAGAATGCTGATTGGTCCATTTTACAGAGTGCTGATTGGTCCACTTTACAGAGGGTTGATTGGTCCATTTCACAGAATGCTGATTGGTGCATTTACAATCCTTTAGCTAGACACAGAGTGCTGATTGGTGCGATTTTACAGAGTGTTGATTGGTGCATTTACAATCCTTTATCTAGACACAGAGCACTTGGTGCATTTACAATCCTTTAGCAAGACACAAAAGTTCTCCAATTCCCCACCCAACCCAGAAGCTCAGCTGACTTCACCTCTCAACAGGACATCCCAACTGCTCTTGGGAATTGGGTGATGACCACTCTAGCTACTTCTTGTTGGATGGGGCATAGATGGGGCCTGCAGTTGTAATGTCCTCCAGAGGGGAACTCTTTAGGCCAGTGAAAGAGCCAGAGGGTCAGTCCAGGGGTCATCAGTAGAAGTTGTGAGTTTAGCTCATTTGGGGTTCCATTTCTAAGACCATCTGTAGCTTGATGGCCTCAATTCTAGAGGAAACAAATTTGACAAGGAGGTTAAAAATACAGGGCCTGAAGGCAAGTAATGGCAAGATGGCTGCCATGGGACCTAGAAAGTGGAGAAGCCATGTTGCCCAACTCCAGAGGTTGGTATAAGAGTTTGAAAGGTGTTGTCTGATTTCAGAAGCCTTCTCCTGTAAATGCCAGGTGGCATCTTGTACTATTCCTGACTGCTTGGTGTAAAAACAACACTCTTCCCCCAGGTGCAGAGTCTCTTTTCTCAGCAGTGAGGAGGTCTAGGCCTCAGCAGTTTTGGAGAGTTACTGCTGCCAGAGTCTATTTGGGATTGTAGTGTAAGGATAGATTTTGTTATTTCTTGCAAACTGTCTGAGAAATCCTTTGAGAGTGTGTGGTAGTAGGATAATTAAGTAGATTAGATAACTGGCTATTCCAGTTCCTGTAGCAGTAGCCATTCCTAACCCAATACAGAGGGGTATTAGTTGTATGGCTCTGCACTGATGGACTTGAGTTTTTGAGGGGTACTGATAGGGTCAGATTTCCTCAGGATTAGAAGTTAGGATAATACGTGCTACACTGTTAACTTTTAGCAAACTTTTGTTGAAAAGTTGTAAGTTTGGGATTTCAATTACTCTATTCTATTAATAAGACCTCTTTCAGTCCAGTCCATATTAATTTAGAATTGGTATAGATGGCTACTTCCTGATTTTGTAAGTACTTTAAGGTTTGGCTGAGTGCAAACAGCCCACATGTTTCAGCAGACCAATTATTAGGCAATTTTCCTAACTCTGCTTTACAAGAGTTTCCTTATCACTTACTGAATACCCATTGTGTCTTTTTCCCTCAGTCACCCTAGAGGAACCATCTATCATCCTGTCCTGAAGGGAGTTCATCCTAGATCTGGTTGGACATTTTTATGGTAAATAATTAAGACTTAGATCCCCTGTTAGGAAACCTGCAGGGTTAAAGATTTTTGATAGGAAGGCTATGGGTTGTCAGTGGCCTCAGGGCTTTTGGGCTATGCCCTTGTTTACATGGAAAACAAGGTGGTATTGGTGTGTTATAGGGTCATGGAGAAGACCTTCAATTATCAGTGATAGGTTTTAAATTTACACTGGCTTTTAAAGTAATAGGGCACACTGTTTTTTCTTTACTACTTCTCTCTCTTTCCCTCTTTGACTCCTTCTTGGTCTCTCTCTTTCTCTCTTACTTTCTGTCTCTTTCTCTGTTTCCTTTCTGGTAGTCTTTCCCTGCCTCTGCCAGCCACTTGTGTTGCTGTTCTTCCCTCTCCTTCCCCTTTTGATGGCTTTGGCAGTGTAAGACTGCCACTTCCTTGGGTTTTTGCACTGCGTGCAATAACTCCGTGATTTCCTTGTGACATTTAATGGGGTTTCCCCAGAGGTTATGAACTCCCTTTCTTTCCATATTGTAGCATGGGTATGTAGGATTAGATAAGCATACTTACTATCTGTATATGCATTTATGCTTCTTCCTTTTCACAGTTCTAAGGCTTGGGTAAGCACCACTAGTTCTGCCAACTGGGCACTTGGCCCTGGGGGAAGAGTCTTATTTTCAAGTACGGTTACATCACTAACTATGGCATAACCTGCTCTTCATATCCCATTTGCCACAAATGAACATACATTGGTATATAGGTTAAGGTCATAATTAGCTAAGGGGACATCTAAGAGATCCTCTCGGGCAGCATAAGTCTGAACTTATTTATCTTAGCATAATTTGTTGGCTGTCATGCTGAATTGGTTCTCCATCCTCTCAGAGAGAAGTGGCAGGGTTTAGGGCCACATGCGTACACATTTGAAGCTCCAGTTCCTCAAGGAGTAGTGCCTGGTATCTAAATAGGCAGTTGTCTGATAACCAGAAACCTCCTTTGGCACCTAGTTTGCCATTTACCTCATAAGTAATCCAGACAGTGAGATCCTTTCCTTGTAGTATTTTGATAGCCTCTCACACTAAGACAGGCACTGCCACAACTACCTGTAACCAGTGAGGCCAGTGTTTTGCTACTACATCAGTTTCCTTACTTAGGTATGCCACTGATTGTGGGGTTGCCCCATGAGTCTGAGTAAGGGCTCCAAGAGTTATTCCTCCTCTCTCTGTGATGTATAAAGAGAAGTTTTATTTTGGCTTTTTTTTTTTTTTTTTCCTGTGGGAAGGCTTAAAGCTGGAACTTGTACTATGGCCTGCTTTAAGATTTTGAAGGCTGTTTCTGGGTCTTCTTGATTAGAGTCTAGAGTGGTCTGGCCATCTTGCTGTATTCAGGGACCCATAGTCAGCAAAAGCCAGTGATGTGCAAGGAACCCTCACAACTGTTTTAATGTCTTAGGGTGAGGGTAAGCCAGTGATTAATTCCTTGCTGAGGGTCCTGGTCCCTCGGGTTAAGATTAGGCCTAGATATTTGACCTGCTGTAGGCAAAGCTGTGCCTTTGACCTAGATGCATTGTACCCTTGATTAGATAGTTCAAGGGATTTAGAGTAGTCTGCTGGCATGAGGCTTCTGAACTGTTAGCCAAAAGTAAATCATCCACATACTGAAAGACCAGAGTGTCTGGACTTGAAAAGTAGCCTAGATCTTGGACTAGTGCTTGAGCAAACAGATGAGGGCTATCTCTAAACCCTTGGGGCAAGACTGTTCATGTAAGTTGGGATATGTGGTCCATAGGATCCTCAAAAGCAAATAGAAACTGGGAATCAGAATGCAGGGCAATACAGAAGAAGGCATCCTTGAGGTGCAGAACAGTGAACCATTCTGCTTCCTCTGGTATTTGAGAGAGCAGGATATAGGGGTGGGGTACAACTGGATATAGAGGAATTACTGCCTCATTGATGAGTCTAAGATCTTGCACTACTCTCCACTGACCATTCAGTTTTTGTGCTCCTAGTATAGGGGTGTTGCAGGGACTGCTGTATTTCCTTACTAAGCCTTGAGCTTTTAAGTGTTTAACGATATCCAGTAATCCTTTATGAGCTTCAGCCCTTAAGGAATGTTGCCTTTGATAAGGAAAACTGTTGGAGTCTTTTAGCCTGATTTGGACTGGGTGGGCATTTTTTGCCCTTCCAAATTATCCTTCCAATGCCCAGACTTTAGTGTTGATTCCCTCAAGTAACTTGTTCCCCATATTTATGTAGATAATTATTTCAGCTTTGGCTAATATATCCCTCCCTAATAAGGGTGTGGGAATTTCAGGCATAACAAGAAAGGCATGTGAAAAGAGTACAGTCTCCCAATTACAAATGTGGAGGTGGGAGAAATACCTGGGTACAGGCTGTCCCAGGATTCCTCGAATGGTAATGGACATTGAGGACAGGAGACTAACACCTGCCCAGGTGTTAATCTGTCCAGGACAGGAGATTAACACCAAGAAAGCCAAGCCAGTGTCCAGGAGGAAGTCAATTTCCTGACCCTTAATGGTTAAATGTACCCAGGGATCAGTGAGAGTGATGACATGAGCTGGCACTTGCCCCAGGCACCCTCAGTCCTGTTGTTGGATTGTCTGGTTGGGGGCTTCTGACACAGAGAAACTTTGTCCTCTGGGGCAGTGTGTCTTCCAATGATTGCCTTGGCATAGTGGACATGGGCAAGGCAGCAGCTTATTTCTTGTTGTACAATCTTTTTTAAAGTGTCCTTGTAAACCACACTGATAACAAGCCTTACTGGGTTATTGTTCTGCTCTATTTTCTGTCCTCTCTGAACCACCATGGCTTGTTTGCCTGAGGGCCATGACTAAGGCTGTGGTCTTTTTCTCATCTCACTTTTCCTTTTTGGCCTGTTCCTCTTGGTCCCTATTATAGAACACCAAGATTTTCAGGTTTAATAATGCCTCCAGATTTTGTTCAGTGCCCAGGGCTCACTTTTGGAGCTTTCTCCCAATATCTGTGGTGGATTGGGTAATAAGCTTATCTTTTAGGATCAGTTGACCCTCAAGGGAGTTGGGTGACAGGGGAGTATATTTTCTTAAGGCCTCCTGTAACCACTCAAGGAAGGCAGAAGGATTTTCTTCCTTTCCCTGAGTTATGATGGATATCATTTAATAATTAATGGGCTTTTTCCTCATTCTCCCTAGTCCTTCTAGAGCATTGGTCAACAGATGTTTACTACTCCTATCACCATGATCTGAGTCTAGATCCCAGTGGTGATCCACACTAGGGATTGCTTGTTGACCAGTAGGGAATTTATCCCTTTCTTCAGCTGTCATTCTGTCATTTACTTCACTAAGATACCCAGTATCTCCAAACTCTCAGGCTGCAGCTAAAGCAACATTATTTTCATTAAAGGCCAGGGTTTTGTCTAACAATAGCATGACATCTCTGCAAGTGAGATTGAAGGTGTGCCCTAGACCATGTAGGAAATCTGTTTACCTATGAGGATCATCTTAAAACTTCCCCAGGTGTGCCTTGATGTGCTTTAAATCAGAGAGGGAAAGGGGGACATTCCCCTCCCCCTACAGCTTGAAGGGGATATAACTGATAGCCCAGGGATTTTTGTGGTCCTTTGGGGATTTCTCTGCTTGTTTCCTTCTGGGTGGGGGAGATTAGAGGAGACATCATTAAAAGGAAGGGGAGCCATAGGGAGTCTAGGATATGGGGGTAAGCTAAAAGGCCTTCCTTTGGGATATAAATTGCAAGTTTTGCATATTTTTGGATTCTCCTTCAATGAAAAGAAAGTTTGAACATAAGTTATTTCACTCTATTGCCTTCCCTCTTAACAGAAAAGTCAAGCTGCAGGATAGTATTGTAATTTATACTTCCCTCAGGTGGCCATTTTTCCCCATCAGAGAGAGAATATTGGGGTCAAGCCATAGTGCAGAAAAAGATGAGCCATCTCTTTTTCAGGGTTTGTGGGACAAATTGATCACAATGGCTTAGGATGCATTTCAAGGATGAGCCTGTTGATGCCTGAGTGTTTCCCATCTGAAAGACAAAACCACTCATGGTTTTGGTTTATTCATTTCTCTCCCTGCCCAATAACCTGCAATGGTCCCTGGACCCTGCTGATCAGAATAGTTGCACTCACTGATGCAGCAGCAGAAATGCCTCCTGCCCAAGTACCCACAATGGCCCCTGCACCCTGCTGATAGGAAAAGTTGTGCTCAGTGACGTAGCAGCAGAAATACTAGTTTTCCTCCTAGACCACAAGGAGGAATGAGGAATGTCAGATTTAGTGGCCCTTACTGATGCATTCTCAAAAAACCTGTTAGAGTCCTAAGGACTCTCCTGTTAATATTGGGACCTTACCACTCTCCTATAAAGACGTTATGCCCCAAAAATGAAGTGGAGGGCCATACGCTGAGGGAGGGAAGGCATTTCCAGGCTTGGAAGAGTGATAACTTTTGTCTTCACTTGAATGGGAAGGATATCATTTCTGAGGCTCCCCTTCTCCTAGCTTTAGGAAAAGCTTTTGTTGGGCCTGCTTATCTGAGAAAGGATCCTAAAATTCCAGATAGTCCCCCCTACAATGGGGCTTTGGGCAAAAATTATGTCTTTCTAATTGGTGGGCCCAGTGCCTAAGAAGGCAATAGTGTCCTGGAGTTTATACTAGAAATCATTCTTATAGGAGAAACTATAAAAGCACCAGAAACAGGGAGTGGTTTTTAGAAGCATGACTAGCCTCAGAGAAGAGAGGTGAGAGGAAGTTCATCTGACAGGCATTAGGACACAGGAGGCAAGGGTCAGGATAGATAGGATAGACAGGCAAGTCTCACTTGGGCAATGTAACTTCAAGAGTTCCACTCATGGCTACAGGGTCAACCAATTTATTGTCGGACCCTCCAGCTGAATGGCTTTCCTCTCTGTTGACCCTCAGCTTAGCCTAGAAGTACAGGAAGAGTGCAAGCTGATTCCAGGCAAACCAACGCTCCCAGCTCCGAAGAGTCTGCGGTTGTTAGAGAGCCCTTTCCCAGAAAGGGCTGACACCTGTGTATTTAGTCCAGCAGCTGTGCTAGTCACTTTTAACTGGCCAACAATTTCCTGGTATTTAGCCCCCGAATTCTAAGGAAAAATAGGACAATAGCAAGGGAAAGGGGTCCAATGGGACTTACCGATTGGTGAGAGTCAATAATCCCTTTGTGGTTGCCAAAATGTGTCCAGAATTTATTCCTTCTGGTGTGTTCTTGATCTCAGTGACTTCAAGAATGAAGCTGTGGACCCCCGCACTGAATGTTACAGCTTTTAATGATGATGTATCCAGAGTTTGTTCCTTAAGTTGTTCAGATGTGTCTGGAGTTTCTTCCTTTCAGTGGGTTCATGGTCTCACTGGCTTCAGAATTGATGCCTCAGACCTTAGCAGTGAGTGTTACAGCTCTTAAAAGTGGTGCATCAGGAGTTGTTTTTTTGTCCTGGTGGGTTTGTGGTCTCACTGACTTCAGGAATGAAGTTGCGGAACCTCACAGTGAGTGTTACAGCTCATAAAGGTAGTGCAGACCCAAAGATTGAGCAGCAGCAAGATTTATTGTGAACAGTGAAAGAACAAAGTTTCCACAGCATGGAAGGGGACCTGAGCAGGTTGCCGCTGCCGGCTTGGTTGGCTAGTTTTATTCCCTTATTTCGCCCCATCCATCCTGCTGATTGGTCAGTTTTACAGAGTGCTGAATGGTCTCTTTTACAGAGTGCTATTGGTCCCTTTTACAGAGTGCTGATTGGTCCATTTTACAGAGTGCTGATTGGTCCATTTTACAGAGTGCTGATTGGTGTATTTACAATCCTTTTAGCTAGACACAGAGTGCTGATTGGTGCAGTTTTTACAGCGTGCTGATTGGTGCATTTGCAATACTTTAGCTAGACACAGAGCCCTGATTGGAGCATTTACAATCCTTTAGCTAGACATAAAATTTCTCCAAGTCTCTACCTGGCCCAGAAGCTCAGCTGGCTTCACCTCTTACTAAGTCTTACATTTAAGTCTTTGATCCATCTTGAGTTGATTTTCATAAATGGTGTTAGGAAGGGGACCAGTTTCAGTTTTCTGCATATGGCTAGCCAGTTTTCCCAACACTATTTTTGTACTTCTTAAGAGTATATTTAAAATTCTTTGTCATGATTAAAATTTATTTATTTTAGAAGGAGAAGCAAGGTACTAGCATTTTAGATATAATAAACACCAAGCTCTTTGCTATTTTCACAGCTTTTGTCTTTCTTCAAAATTTCCACTATTTTAAAATTGATCAAAGTAAACAAATTCTAATAAAAGTTTTAGAACCCAATTCTAAAGTAGTGTTTGCTAAATAAATTCTCCCACAAAATTATTTGCATCAGCTAAACTTAATTTTATCTAAATTAAAGGCTATACAAACCTTGGAAAAAATATTCAGTACCATGTTAGTCAAGGGAATTAGTGTCACATTTTCAGGTATCCAACAATTATTACGTTTTTACAAACATAAAAGAAAAAACAACTATGACTCTTATTATATCACTACAGTCTGTGATTTTTCTTCCTTTTTTCATTTATTTATATTCATCATGGGATTATTTGTATGTCTCTGCATTTCTCTGTATACCTCTGAAAGTTTAATATATAGTTCAGTAATTATATATTCTTTTTACCTTTGAAAATGTGAACAGCATATCATGATATATTTTCTATTAGTTTACCTATCTCAGGATACACATACTTTGAACCTATAAAACTTTTGTGTTTGATTAAAACCTAGGTAATGTCAAGCAGTATTTATTTACAAAACATGTCTAATTTATATTGGGAATAAGATAAGAGAAAATAATTTCCTTTGGGTTTGACAATATTATGGCCTTGATGGTTACTCATGGAAGACAGACTTTTATCTTACAAGTGAGTATTTGCTAACTAGAGTTGAAAGCATTATAGTGTTGGCATGCTCCCAGATTACCACTTGAGATGCACTGCTGGCTGATCTACAGAGCAGCTTTGATTGCAGTTTTACCAAGCCACATTCCTGCTGTCCTAGATGGAAGGTTTGTTTTATTTTGCTTGTAGTCAGAGGGGAAGTGATGCTTTATTTTTTACTAGCCTCGGAACTTTAGACCTTAATTTTTCTCCAGGAAAGAGGAGAATTTTTAAACCTGAAGGTTTCATTTAGCTTTATGAACGTGGGAAAAAAATAAAATAAAAATAAAATAAAATAAAAACAATCCTTGCTGATTTCTTGTTCATATTCCATCTATTAACTGCTGGATTGAAACTCTTTTTTAAATTTCTTGATGACCTCTGAATCAAAGAAACAATGTAAGCAAAGGTCCCACATCTGGAAACTAAGAAATAATTTGCACAAAAGAAAGTAAGAAAGAGAAAATATGAAGGTTCCGAGGTTACCATGAAATCAGTTCTAAGTTCCTTTGCCAGATAGTCAAGTCCCTTCTGCAACTGGTTGGGAGTTTCATTCTCCTTTCAGGAATCAGCTCATGTCGCACTTTCTCTCTGATCTTCTGCACCTTTTCCTTACATTACTTTATTTTCTCTGGCATGAAGAAAATAATGCAGAGGAAAATAAAATATTGAGGACATTTTGCAGTGAAATATTTTAATTGCAGGATAGAATAGAAAACAATGGATGCTAGGATAACAATTGTGTTTGTAAGCTTATGAATAATTTGAATGAATGTCAGTTCAAGGAGAGTTTAGACTTTAAAGTATCATCAAATGTATGCGTTCATATGCCGATGTTTGACATAAAAATATATAATATTTTTTACATCAGAGAAGGTAGTTTTCATATATCGTGCATTAACTAATGAATCTCCAAGTTCCAAATATGCAGTACATGCTCAGCAAACTGGAACTGTATGAGGAATGAGTAACATTAACTGTATTCTTTAGAAAATTGGCATACTAAGTTCATACTAAAACATGAATGCATTCAATTTTTTCAAGTAATTAATTTCAAATAATCCCATTTGCCTTAGATGCAAAACTTTGTTCAGTAGTAAAATTATTGGTGATAGCATATTATTTTCCTAAATAAATGTTTTTGAATGTATAAATAGCTTCTGTCCAAGTTTATCCTTATGTAAATCTTGGTAGTAAAAGCATTCTTATGTGCAATTTTCTTTTTATGAGGTTCCAAAGAGAGGACATATTAATAGTACACATAAACATTATCTGACTGGATGGCTAAAATATTAAATAATCACTAAAACAAGTATTAAAATGTTATAAACAATTATTACTTATCCTTCATTAGTTAGCAACAACATTGATAAGTTAACAGGCAGCATTTTTACTAGGTCAGAGGGTGCTTGAGTACACACCGGGATTTATTATGGTAATCAATGCCCAACTACACCTCAAGATGTACACATTTTGTGTACATAAAGATAGAAGGTAACCTACTTAGAGATTATTTGAAATTTCTATTTGGATCGGCCCATTCATCCATCTAAGAATGTAGGGCAGGGCAGGTTCTCCTGGGATGTTGTGAGAATAGTCTTTTGTGCAGATTGGTTGTTTTTAGAACAAAGAATCTAAAAATTTCCTTCTTTCCCATCTCTGAGCATCCAGTTGTCCTCTACCAGGAAGCAAGGAACAGGAAAGCACAATTCTGCCTCAGAAAGTATGAATATGTGCTCAGCAACAGGACTATTAATTTTAAATAATAAGCTGTTATATGCTTTTTATTATGTTAACAGTTAGATTGCAGGTAACTTGTACATGTTACCTTTCCAATAGAAATCCATACCCAGAAAGTTTTATCCCTTGCTCGTGATTTTAGAGGTGTTCAGTTGTCAGATCTTTTTCTCATTTCTACTGGCTGTATTCCTCCACTCTTATAACCATCCTCTCACTTATTTTAGAATCAAAGTGAATTATGTCTTGCCTGTCAAAGTTTATTAATATTAGATCCTACAATTAAAAATATTGTTATGTATCTTTCTAATTCTTGTGGCATTACTATTATGGGAAAATGTATACCTTTTTCCAAAATAACTAATTTGAAATAATTTTGTAACATAATCCATTTTACAATAAGAAATTCCACCTCTCCAACACACACACACTTAAATATTCTCCATGGCAAATTTATTATAATTCAAATAAACATGAAATATTAAATTTAACTTACATGGTTAGTAGGGATTATTTTTTGTTAAATACAAAGTAAGTTGATATGTTAAGAATTTTTTCTCTTTTTGTCACCAAATTACCAAACACATGTGCCAAAGTATTAATACGCATTATCATACATATGAGATTCCATATGACAAATTTTGACATTAATTCATTTTTTGATCCAAAAATTTCTCTTAATAATGATACACATTGGAACTGTATGTGTTCTGCACCTTTTTAAGTCTTCAACAATGAACTTAAAAATTAAAATTTTATATTTAATATTATTGCTGATATAGCGATACTATAAATTTTTATAACTAGATGTCCTGTTCTTTAAATGATGATGTGTGATACATAGGGAAGAGGATATCCTGGAGCTTTTATATTTTATTTTATTTTATTTTATCTCTTTATTTTATTTTATTTTATATATATTTTTGAGACAGAGTCTCACTGGGTAACTCAGGCAGGAGTGCAATATCACGATCCTGGCTCACTGCAGTCTCCAACTTTAGGTTCAAGTGATTCTTCTCTGTCAGCCTCCTGAGTAGTTGGACCAAAGGCATTCACCACCATGCACGGCTAATTTTTGTATTTGTAGTACAGATGTCATTTCGTCATATTACCCAGGCTGGTCTTGAAGTCCTGACCTCAAGTGATCCACCCAACTCAGCCTCACAAAGTGCTGGGATACAGACGTGAGCCATCGCACCTGGCATTTTGCTAATCTTGTTTCGATCTTATGCATAGTTGCTTGCAGAGAAAAAGCCAGGTATTCGTCAATATATCATAGATAAACCCAACTAAATTTTCGAGAGGAATATATTCCAAAAGTTACCATGGAAAATTATTAACAAAGGTGTCATTCAAGAGGATTGCAGAAACTGAACTATACTCAGTGGGATTAGTATCATAATGTAGTACAAAGACACTGAATAAGTTTGTATGATTATTGTTTTGTAGTGGTTGCAGGTCAGCTTTCACTGCTTAAACCACGTACAGCACCCTACTCAAACTTGCATGCCAGTGAGGCAGTCAGGATTTGGAGGAAGGCCCAGCAAGAACAATCAGGGAACAAGGACAGAATCCTGGATTTGCCTATGGTGCTTTATGATCTTCCACAAGTAGGCAAACTGATCAGTGCAGAGAGCATATCTTCTGTCACAGAGTAGATACTTCAACCAAAATTATTACCTTAAATATATCTGTCCTTACTCTAAATAGTTAAATCCTCTGTATTCAAGATTTAAAGTTGAATCCAAAGACTCTTTAATATTACAAAGAAACATGAAGTTACCTTAAGTTAAAATTGTTCAGAGGATATTGAAATAACTACTGTCTAGAACAGTGGCTCACGCCTGTAATCCCAGCACTTTAGGGGGCGAGGCAGAGGATCACAAGGTCAGGAGATCGAGACCATCCTGGCTATGGTGAAACCCTGTCTCTACTAAAAATACAAAAATTAGCCAGTTGTGTTGGCAGCCACCTATAGTCCCAGCTACTCGTGAGGCTCAGGCAGAGAATGTCGTGAACCCAGGAGATGGAGCTTGCAGCGAGCTGAGATGCACCACTGCACTCCAGCCTGGGCCACAGAGTGAGACTCCATCTCAAAAAAAAAAAAAAAGGAAAAGAAAAGAAAGAGGAAGGACAAACTGCAAACATCTCACATCTCCCAAAATTCTTCTTCTTTTTTTTTTTTTTTTTTTGAGACGGAGTCTCGGTCTGTCGCCCAGGCTGGAGTGCAGTGGCGGAATCTCGGCTCACTGCAAGCTCCGCTTCCCGGGTTCACGCCATTCTCCTGCCTCAGCCTCCCGAGTAGCTGGGACTACAGGCGCCCGCCACCGCGCCCGGCTAATTTTTTGTATTTTTAGTAGAGACGGGGTTTCACCTTGTTAGCCAGGATGGTCTCGATCTCCTGACCTCATGATCCACCCGCCTCGGCCTCCCAAAGTGCTGGTATTACAGGCGTGAGCCACCGCGCCCGGCCCCAAAATTCTTCTTAATGTTGACATAAATAGTGTTATCCCAGGAGTCTATTTTAATGTGTGCTTCAGTAATGATCTCTCCATTAGAAGCCTCTAGGAAAGAATCATTGAGTTTCAATCACACAAATATTTATGAGAGAGACTTACATTTGATTTGAAAAGTGTGCCCTTGTACAGTTTTCATTCGAGGTAATGAATATCTGACAGTAGAAAACAAATTTTATAATTCTTAAATACCTGACTAGTAGTAGTATTTTTATATATAAGGTATTTATTTTCATTGATCATGGATTATTCCTGCACCTACCTTAATTATAATTACCAATCCAGCAAAGTTAAAATCACACTGTACCTAAAAATAGAAACAGTATTCTACTGAAGGTGATCATGCTATCATGCTGATGATGGGTTGCCATCTTTTCCTCTGAAACAGCAAAGAGGTTCTGCATGTTATTCTGCCTTCAACATATGCACTTGCTAGTTTCTGTTACCATTGTTAAAAATAGATTCATTTGACAATCTTTTTTTAAAAGACTTTCCATCCTAGAAAGCTTATTAGTTTTACTTTACACAACCTGATTCAGCACATACTGCTACTAAATAGATGATTTTTCACGAAATAATGCAATCAGTAATTTGTAGGAAGAACAGAAACCTAGGCCCCAGAAATCCCAAAGTAGAAATCCTCCTAGGAGTTGTAGTAATTTGGAGCTCTGTCATAGTTTATTAGTGATGAAGAGATCCATACAACTTCATGGGAGGTAGTGCATCGGTGACATTGCATCTAGCAAGAATAAGAGATACTCAAGATACATGCTATTTCATATTCATACCCATGAATCAGTGACACAACTCTTCAAAATGTTGTGGATCAGCTACCCACAAGACAGGGAGAATAAGATATGACTGTACACTGTGTTCCAGACATTATGGATTTAATGCTTAAACACATCCAAATGAATACAGTTGGAATAATGGCTACACACTTCTGGGTAAAATAGAATGCATTGTAAACCTTAACTTTTTAGTTAAAATGTAAGTATAGTATTAACCATTATTGTTCATGCTATCTTTTAACCTCATTGCAATGAAGAGAATAGTGGATGATACACAGATCACCACTCTCCTGCCTTTTGAGTAAAACTAAAAAGGATGATTTATTTCACATTCTTAGAGAAGCAAATTAATTTTAACAACTTTTCTAGGTTTCTCATTGCCAACTGATCACTTCTTATAAAGAAATAAAAGACAGCTTTGCTGAATTCAAAAATGATATATCAATTGGTCTCAATATTTGTCTTCTGTTTTAACTAAGGCCTTATTCAAGGATAGTCAAGATATGCATTGCCTGTTTTTGTTTTAAGTAGGCACTATGGAGCTAGAAAAAGGTGTCTTTCTGCTCATTTAAAGGTAACAGAGGCTATCCTGGCCTTACAGAAGATCCAGGGGGCAGATTGGCCAGGAAAGCAGGGCTATGGTGTCGAGCCATTAAAGTGTTCCCCTAGGAGTGCATTAATAACAGCCAAGGCATTAGAAGGTTTCCTTCTAGAGTCATTGGCTTTGATTTTTTAAGCCATTTTTCCCCTCTTGTTATATAGAGAGACACAAATCTAGGGAAGCAATAATTCTACTCTAGTTATTGTAGGCAGTGGTGTAAAGTCACCAGTCTTGAAAGCCGCTTGTAAATGCAGGACCCATCCCATTAAAGAGTGTTCCACTTGGGAAATATGCTGTATTATCAAAATGAGGAATTCTGTGAACTGAAACTACAGTTTAAACTCAGTGTACCAGTTCTTCCAAAGTTCAGTTATAGATTGAAGTGATGATGGTTTGTTTTATTCCAATTCATTAAAGGTCCAGTTATTCTACTACCCCCAAAAATGTATTCTAAAAACTGAAATAAAGTGATGGTACTCTTTTGGAAAAGTCCATCCCCACATCTCTGCCCATCCCCACACCAAGATTTATTTTGACAAAAATAGTTTTAATGATATGTCACTGATGGCAATCAATGTATTGAGCTGTAATGTTGTAAAGATTTATGAAGTTCCATTTAGATCCATCACTACAGTTAGAAAAGTAGTTTCATCTACATTGTTGAGAAAGAAAGTTCTTTCTAGAAAGGGGAGGTGGCTGGCAAGGTCCAGTTGAAAACATTCAGAAGACAAGAGGTGAATTAGCAAAGTGGAAAGAGATGTTGAATTAAATGTATGCAAATTTTTGATGACAAACTGCATGTAAATCATAGGTTATATATAATCCTAAAGACAGAACATTGATGGCCCTACATCAACCTTAGTGCCAGAGTAAAACAAAAGGAGATGCGCACCACTGGGGTCTTCCCTAAAATACAAAATTCAAAAAAAAAAAAAAAATACGTGAACATAGAAATAATAAACTGAGACTGAGAGTGAATATGGGACTGACAGTCAATATGACTATCTGGAAGTCACTGAAGAAATAAAGCTATAAAGAAAAAAAATGAACCATATTTAAAAAGCTGCAGGAACATGATCAGGTCATGCCATACAGTGCAAGTTGGGTGTACTGGTTCAGTTGAAGCCAGAACCTACAAATAATATATAGATAGCAGAGATCTACTTCCATTTACACTTCCTGCGTAACACAAATTTTGGCTTTCTCATTTAATGAAATAATACAGTAGCAGAGTTCATGCTGATGACAAGCTTTATCTTTAGCTTTTTGTGTCCCCTTCTTCCCTCCTTCCCTCCCTCCTTTCTTTCCTTCTTTCCTTCCTTCCTTCCCTTCTTCCTTCCTTCCTTCTTTCCTCGTTTTAAATTAGAAGTCCAATTGAACCATGCCTTTTGCTTGTTTTGACCTAACAATCAGGCTTTAAAATGTTACTGATTCAACCGTAATGTCAGGTGGCCAAGGAAGAGCAGTGAATAACTCAATCTGATTTAGTACGTCTTTGATTAGAAACTTAAGGCCATGAAATAGTATCATCTCCAGCACCCTGAGTAGAAGTAGTTCCACCACAGAAATAGGTGGTAGTTAATTTATTTAACCACTCAGTTTTGAAGTCTTCAATAACTTAGTTGAAATAAAGATGGTGAAGTCTCCCAATAAAATGAGCTAAGACTTCAAGAACAGGCAAGGCATTGGCAATTTTGAATCGGTAAAGCTGACGTTTTGTTACTAATTTTCTCTGAGAAAATGACATGGAGCAAGATTTGAGACCATCAAAAAACAAGGAAACAAAGGTCACTTTATTGAATTTAAATGAAGTTAGATGACTTTAAATTGATTTAAACATATTTTAAAATCTATGTCTGATTTCACAAAATTAAATTGAATGTTTTATAATAAAATAAGCTTGTTTTGAGTTTTAAAGTCACACAACCATACCCACATATTATTTTTGTTAATTAATGGAAAAGAACACAAGTTCTACCTATTGACATAGTGGCAAAATAATAAAAAGGAACACACAACTCAAATTTTTCTACACACACACAGGCATTCTAAGTGACATAGAGGGTTAATTCTATGTAGATTGCATAAAATATTTCAGTTTTGTGTCTTGTACTTGTCCTTAAAAATAAAGAATAAATACAGGCAGAATAAAAACTAACCAAAATGAAATACACATTTTTTTTAACAGAAGTCTGAACGACGTCATTGGGAAATCCACGAGGGCTAAACTTAAATGAATATACATAAGATGCTAAGAGATATGTCTTAAAGCAGTATTTGCAAAGTAAGCACACTTTTCACTTACTTTACATATGATACATTGGGCCAGAAGTGCAAGGAGAGCCACTGCTTGTCCCTACAGTCATCCTGAGTCATAGGCTATGACAGTGATAGTGAAAATTAGATAATAGGTGTGATATAGAACATTCAGATTGAGTGCAAGATAATACACATTTGCAGACATCAGGCAGAATGCAAATGTTCCACATTTGCAGCTACTATTGTTTTTCTGAAAAACAAAGTTTATAAATGCTGGGAAAAGTAAGCTATACCATTATAGATCTAAGACATCTGGAGAAGGAAACTCATTATACACCACAAGTCTTGACAGCTGGAACTTCATTGATAGCTCATGCAAGCATTCCCCTATGGTGACTACGTTTACCAATACTGTACTGTATAGTTAAAAAACTTGCTCAGAGAGTAAAGCTTTATTGTTGTCACCCAAAACAAACAAAAAATACCCTAAACAGATACCAAACACAATTAAATTATCTTAAAGGATACTAGAAATAAATGACAAGTTCTGTGTACACGAATGGCATTTACATGAGCAAGAAGTTTCTAAAAAGCAACAATTAAACATAAAGTAGCAGGATTTTTTCAAGCCATGATCTAAAATAATATATTTTAAAAAACTATCGTTAAAGTTTGAGTGTGAAATAAAGATACTTTATGATATACAAAACTTGAAAGGACGTAGTACAGAGAGTTTGCTTGCTGAAGTAATTTGTTAAGGTTAAGTTTGAGGAAAGAGGAAATTTCACACAAAAAGAAAAATTTAAGAACTAAAGTGAGTAAACAAATTAATAAAGAAGAACATATTCCTAAGCTAGCAATAACAATGTAAACAATAACACTAACAATGAGTAATTAAGCATATGGTTAAGGTGCACCTAAAATTCTAAACAATATGATTCGAATTTAATTACAATTTAATTGATAGAGTTTATGAGAACAAACAAAATTATAAGCCATATAAAAATGAATGTAGTAAAAACTGAAAATGTTCAAGTAAAAGTTTTAAATTTTATTGAAGGGCAAAATAAATGAAAGCCAAAATACACATAAAAACGTGTGCTGGGCAATTGTTAAAAAATCTTCACATGATGAAGGACCTCTTCAAGGAGAACTACAAACCACTGCTCAATGAAATAAAAGAGGATGCAAACAAATGGAAGAACATACCATGCTCATGGATAGGAAGAATCAATATCATGAAAATGGCCACACTGCCCAAGGTAATTTATATATTCAATGCCATCCCCATCAAGCTACCAATGACTTTCTTCACAGAATTGCAAAAAACTATTTTAAAGTTCATGTGGAACAAAAAAAAAGCCCAAATTGTCAAGACAACCCAAAGCCAAAATAACAAAGCTGGAGGCATCACGCTACCTGACTTCAAACTATGCTACAAGGCTACAGTAACCAAAACAGCATGGTACTGGTACCAAAACAGAGATACAGACCAATGGAACAGAACAGAGCCCTTGAAAATAATACCACACATATACAACCATATGAACTTTGACAAACCTGACAAAAACAAGAAATGGGGAAAGGATTCCCTATTTAATAAATGATGTGGGGAAAACTGGCTAGCCATATGTAGAAAGCTGAAACTGGATCCTTTCCTTATACCTTACATAGAAATTATTTCAAGATGGATTAAAGACTTAAATGTTAGACCTAAAACCATAAAAACTCTAGAAAAAAACCTAGGCAATACCATTCAGGACATAGGCATGGGCAAGGACTTCATATCTAAAACAACAAAAGCAATGGCAACAAAAGCCAAAATTGACAAATGGGATCTAATTAAACTAAAGGGCTTCTGCACAGCAAAAGAAACTACCACCAGAGTGAGCAGGCAACCTACAGAGTGGGAGAAAACTTTTACAATCTACCCATCTGACAAATGGCTAATATCCAGAATATACAAAGATCTCAAACAAATTTACAAGAAAAAAGCAAACAACTCCATCAAAAAGTCAGCAAAGGATATGAACAGACACTTCTCAAAAGAAGACATTTATGCAGCCAAAAAACACATGAAAAAATGCTCACTATCACTGGCCATCAGAGAAATGCAAATCAAAACCACAATGAGATACCGTCTCACACCAGTTAGAATGGTGATCATTAAAAAGTCAGGAAACAACAGGTGCTGGAGAGGATGTGGAGAAACAGGAACACCTTCACACTGTTGGTGGTACTGTAAACTAGTTCAACCATTCTGGAAGACAGTGTGGCGATTCCTCAAGGATCTAGATCTGGAAATACCATTTGATCCAGCCATACCATTACTGGGTATATACCCAAAGGATTATAAATCATGATGCTGTAAAGATACATGCACACGTATGTTCATTGCAGCACTATTCACAATAGCAAAGACTTGGAACCAACCCAAATGTCCATCAATGATAGACTGGATTAAGAAAATGTGGCACATAAACACCATGGAATACTATGCAGCCATAAAAAATGATGAGTTCATGTCATTTGTAGGGACATGGATGAAGCTGGAAACTGTCATTCTGAGCAAACTATCGTAAGGACAAAAAACCAGACACCGCATGTTCTCACTCATAGGTGGGAATTGAACAATGAGAACACTTGTACACAGAGTAGGGAACATCACACGCTGGAGCCTGTCATGGGTTGGGGGGAGTGGGGAGGGATAGCATTAGGTGATATACCCAATGTAAATGACGAGTTAATGGGTGCAGCACACCAACATGGCACATGTATACGTATGTAACAAACTTGCACATTGTGCACATGTACCCTAGAACTTAAAGTATAATTTAAAAAATCTTCACATAAGATGTCTCTTTCTATATTAAAATATAAATTCAGGAAATGATAATTACAGCAAGATGCTTCATGCTCATTGACAAGCTGATTCTAAATATGGAATTGAAACGGGATGGGACTCATACAGGCAAATTTTGTAGTAAGTGCAGGAGAACAATGGTATGGAAGAGGAAGATGGAAAAAGAGGACTCTTTTTTTTAATTTATTTTTTGAGAAGGAATTTTGTTCTTGTTTCCCAGGCTGGAGTGTAGTGATGCAATCTCGACTCATTGCACCCTACACCTTCCGATTTCAAGTGACTCTCCTGCCTCAGCCTTCCAAATAGCTGGGTGATGCCTGCCACCAAGTCCAGCTAGTTTTTGTATTTTTAGTAGAGACATTATTTTACCATGTTGGCCAGGCTGTTCTCGAACTCCTGACCTTGTGTTCTGCCCCACTCAGCTTCCCAAAGTGGTCGGTTTACTGGCATGAGTCACTGTGTCTGGCTGAGGACTCTGTTTAATAGTGAACACTTCTATACAGCTATTTCTAAATATTATGGTATGGAAAAATCTATTGCAAATTGAAGTAACCTGGAAGTAAATACTCTGTTATGACAGAAGTTACAGTCTAAGCAATGCTGAAGTAATGCACTATTCAATAATATCCTAAGAAATAAATTGAAGGCAAATGGACTAGACTCATTTATTAATGACATATAAAAATAAATCTTTATGTCACAGTATACACAAGAGTAAATGGATGATGATTTTAAAAATACATGTCAAAACCGAAGCTGCCAAATTGCTAGGAGAAAATATTAGAGAATAATTTATAGTTTCAGAAAAATACTGTTAATACAGTTTAAAAGGCTTTAATAAAAAATAAAAATTTTAGCCAGGTGTAGTGGCTCACGCCTGTAATCCCAGGACATTGGGAGGCTGAGGAGGGTGGATCACGAGGTCAGGAGATCGAGACCATCCTGGCCAACATGGTGAAACCCGTCTCTACTAAAAATATGAAAGTTAGCCAGGCATGATGTTGGGTGCCTGTAGTCCCAGCTACTCAGGAGGCTGAGGCAGGAGAATCACTTGAAGATGGGAGGTGGAGGTTGCAGTCAGCAGAGATCACACCACTGCACTCCAGCCTGGTAAGAGAGCAAGATTCCATCTCAAAAAACTAAATAGTAATAATAATAATAATAAAGTAGCAATAATAATAGTAAAAATTAAAATTTTAAAAAGTAGACATACTAAAATAAAAATCTTTTTGACTTAAGACATCATGAAAAATTAAGTTAATCATATGACCAACTGGAGACAGCTATAGCACAAAACATTAGTATGAAATAAAATAACACGTGTAAATCTATCAGATAAAGGGCAACATATAGAACAAATAAGCATCTAAGCAGGCACTTCACAGGAGAAAAAAAGCTGAATATTCAACAAATTCATGAAAAGAAAATTAAGATCACAATAAAAGGCCATGTTTTATCCATGATACTGACTAAAATTGAGAAGTCAAACATCATCATGTGTTGAAAAGGGTGTGGAGAAGCAGGAACCTTAGTATTTAATACACTGTTCCTGTGAATTAATGTGGTAACTTCAGAGCGTTCTGTACCCATGCTTGGTAAATTTGGAGACAGGCACACAAAATTACCAGGAACTTTTATTTCTTGATATACACTATAAAAAAGCCGGTTTATATGTTTGTTAAAAATAGACACAGGACAAAATGTTTTGGGGTTAAGAAGAAATTGTGGAAAAATACTAACTCTCTTTCAATGGAGGACATGTATAAAAAATCACTTTTCTTTCACATAATGGAATGAAATACAGTGGTTAAAATGAATGAAAAAGAACTGTCCATGTAAACATTTGCAATTTCAAAACTATAACATGTTTGAAAACTGAATTGCAAGGGGATACATTTGGTATGCAATACTTATATACTCTTTAAATGCCTCTAAAGCAATGGTATATATACTGTATATCCACTGTATATATATATAATATATATCCACTGTATATACACTATACATCAACTGTATATATATACTATATACACTGTATATATACTATATATCCACTGTATATATACTATATATCCACTGTATATATACTATATATCCACTGTATATATATACTATATATCCACTGTATATATATACTATATATCCACTGTATATATATACTATATATCCACTGTATATATATACTATATATCCACTGTATATATATACTATATATCCACTGTATATATATACTGTATATCCACTGTATATATATACTGTATATCCACTGTATATATACTATATACAGTGTATATATACTATATATACTGTATATATACAGTGTATACGGTATATATATACAGTATATACAGTGTATATATATACAGTGGATATATAGTGTATATATACTGTATATACACTGTATATATACTATATACTGTATATATACTATATATACAGTATTTATACAATATATACACTATATATACAGTGGATATATAGTATATATAGTGTATATAGTATATATATAGTGTATATAGTATATAGAGTGTATATACTATATATATACAGTGTATATATATTATATATATACTATTTCTTTAGAGGCATTTAAAGAGTATATAAGTATGTAAATATTTCATACCAAATGTATCCCCTTGCAATTCAGTTTTCAAACATGTTATCGTTTAGAAATTGCAAATGTTTATATGGACAGTTCTATTTCATTCATTTTAACCACTGTATTTTAATCCATTATGTGAAAGAAAAGTGATTTTTCATACATACCCTCCGTTGAAAGAGATATACTATGTATCTCTTTTATAGTATACTATATAGTATAAGATATACTATATATACACTGTATATATACTATATATGCTGTATATATACACTATATTTACTGTATACATACACTATATATACTGTATACATACACTATATATACTGTATATATACTGTATAAATATACTATATATACTGTATATATACACTCTATACTGTATACATATACTATATACACTGTATACATACTATATATACTGTATATATACTTCATACTGTATACATACTATATATACTGTATATATACTTTATACTGTATATACTGTATGTATGTAATATATACTGTATATATGTATACTGTATATATACACTATATACTATAATATATATAGTATATGTACGGTATATATAGTGTATATATACAGTATACATATTATATACACTGTATATATTACATACATACAGTATATACAGTATATAGTATATATACTGTGTATATAGTATATATACAGTATATATAGTATATACTGTATATATAGTGTATATAATATATACTGTATATATACTGTATATATGGATAAATATTTACTGTATAAAACATGATGTGGGAGAATTACATGCAAAATTCAGGACAATGATTACCTATGGAGAGAAAGAAGGAAGAAAGGATGGAGGTGTTGTAGAGCCTTCAATACTCTCACAATATTTATTTACTTTTTCAACTCCTAAGAGAGATTAACTGACATGGAAAAATGTTAACATTTAATTATTGCATTATATTTCATAAAGACATACCTTCCCTAGTATGCAGCAGTTACTGTTGTACATGCTTTACAAATATTACTTGATTTAATTTTAATGGTAAAACCTGTGAGGTAGTATTAATATAACACTCATTTCCTAGATTACAAGACTAAGGTGAAGAAAGTTTAAATGGCTTGCACAAATTCACATAGAGCTAGATTTGAAGCCAGGTATGTCTGTGGTCTATTGATATGATGCCCTTTCTTGCATGGCTCATTTCTTCAACATCAATAGTACATGTAGGTGGATATTTCCAATATATTTTTTCATACTTTGGGATTTTCTGAAAATTATCACAATTAAAATCAAACACTTAGAAATCCAGGAAATTCTGCTTGCCACTATTCGGTGACGAAAGGACCACATATATGTAGAAAGCCGGTTGTTAGAAATAAGTCCCAACATAACAATAATTATTGATAGAGCAGGAGCACTGGCATCTTGGACAAACACCACCACTTTAAATTCTGTCTCCTTTTGTGGCCTCATGCATTTCATGGAAATCACTTATCTTCTGACTACAAGCAGCTAAAAAGAGCAGACAGTAAAACACAAATAAGACAACTCAGCACAGAGGGAGGTGAAGGGAAAGTCTGTTGAGTAAATGTCAAACTTCGCCTCATACAATGGGCCCCAGTAAAACAGTGGGCCTTATTAAGTACACTCCTTTCCCTTCAGGTGCACCAAGTTAGGGAAGCTAAAAGTGGAATGCGGGGATAAGCCTGCAGCTGCAGAAAGATGTATGGGAACAGGTACACAACTCTCCCTCCCAAACAAGCACAACAGAGACACAGAAGTAGTCCAAGCCTCTGACAAACTCTCCCACCCTTAATCTGTAAAAACTCTTAGTCCCTAAGAAAGTGTGTCTCTGACCTAACTCAGCCAGAAGGTGCCCTCTCAGGTTTGTTTTCTCTAAAATAAGTCTGTCCTTACTGGTGAGCCACCTTTTCTTCTTTCTTCTCTGTTTATTTCTTACAATCATAATAAATGTAAATGATCTAAACTCACTCATTAAATATCAGCTAAATAATACTTGCAAGAGAGAAGCCTAATGCATAAAGCACATGGGGACTGAAAATAAAAGGATAGGAGCAAATAAACTAGGTAAATGCTAATCAATAGAAAGATGATATATTTATATTAATTTTATAAAAACTAAGCTTTTATACAAGAAAATATATATTTTTAAGAATAGAGAAGGCCACTGCTTCATGGAAGTCTCTCTTCAACAAGGGGTTAGTTACTTAAAATGTGTGTGCACCTAATAAAATTAGCACACATATCTAATAAAAAAGGATATAATTTCAGGGATTTTTTTTTTACTCTACTCATATGGTAATTTTATGTGTCAGTCTGACTGCGCAAGTGTGCACCCAGATGTGTGGTCAGGCATTATTCTGTTGTGTCTGTGGGGGTGTTTCTGGATGAGATTAACGTTTTAGATAATGAGTAAAGAAAGATATAAGACTTGGGTAGAACAAAAAGGATAAAATAAAGGGGACTACTTCCTGCCTAATTGTATTTGAGCTGAGGCTTTGAATTCTTCTGCCATTAGATTCAAACTAAAACCTTGGCTCTTCCCAGATCTCAAGGTTGTCACCCTTCAAACTGGAAACACACCATTAGCCATCCTGGTTCTCTGGCCTTTGGTATCAGACTATAACTATACTATCAATACTCCTGGGTCTCCAAATTGCCAACTGTGTTTATTAGAACTTGCCAGCCTTCCTAACTGCAGGAATCTATATATTTGTGTGTGTGTGTGTATGTGTGTGTATTTGTGGGCATCTGTGTGTATATACACACACACATATATGCATTGTATTTATTTCTGCCACTGTGGAGAATCCAGAAGAATATAACTTCCAAAATGGGTGATTTCAATAAAAATTTTTTGGAGATTGATAGGTCAGGTTTACAAAAAGAAAACATTAAAAACAAGTCTTGAAAAATTAAGTAAACATTCTAATAGAAACATATCAACTTCTAAGTACTATAATTAGAGAAAAACAATATTCCCAAACACAAATGAAACTTCACTATTACCATTTTACATTTGGTCACATGATAGTATGTAAGCAAGTCTTAACAAATGTCAAATAATCACTGTCATAAACACCACAATTCTTTGACCTCATGCAATTAGGTTTAAGTAAGTTACAAATGATTTTTTTCAGTCACTGTTTACTGGAAAAATGAAAAATAAAAAACACACAAGAAAGCAGTTCTCATGAATCTTTTGGATCTATACATCAAAAGAATATTAAAATGTACTCACATATGTATAGAAAGATGTCTGTGTAAGATCTTACTGTTTTTCTTTGTTGTTGTAGCAAAAGCCTCGAAATGACATAGTTGTTCAACATGAAATAAGGAACTTCTTTAGTACAGTATTTTGCCTCCAGAAGATGGTATGTGATAGCTGTTAGTGTTATTAGAGAACAAATTTGCTCTTTGTTGATAAAGTAGGATTAGGATAAATAAGGTAGCTACAGAACAGCACATAGAGTATACACTCACTTTAACTTTAAAATTCTGTTTTTATATATATATCTGAGAAATTGAACAAACTTCTATTAGGGACAACTGCAGAATGCAAAATTATACATCTGGGCTCACGTACTCTGTTTTGTTGTCTAATTTGTTTTTTTCATCTCCTCTATGCATTTACAACTTAAAAATACTATTTAAAATGTAGAATGAATCAAAGAAACCCAGTCTAAAAGTACATCTTCTAAAATGTTGTCAAATGGCTTTCAGATCCTTGCACAAGTGACTTTTTCCTTTGGTTTTAGCACTGGCATGTGCATTGGAATACTCTTCAATAAAATTCATCCTTGTGAAAGTATACCATATGGTGTCATCAGTAAATTACTGTAAAAAGGATAATTGGATTTTGAAACCATAATTCTCTGGACTAAAGACACTGGGTGCCATGGAAAGGAAAGGAGACACCTGGAAATGAGAAGGTAAGCTAAAGACACTGATACTTCCTAGGTCTGACAACAAAATTTCAGGTTGAGACTTCACCGAATGATCTTAAAATTCTTGAAAGATTTCCTGCAGGCCCTATTTCTCCAGATAAGAATGTCAAGCTCTGCAATATTCTTCATTGTAATACCTGGTCTGAAGGGAAAAATGATTGAGGTTCTGGGGAAAGTGAATAGAGAACTCTGAGGAAAGCAATGGTTAACATAGTCCTCAAACTTAAAAGCACCAAATTTACATAA
This sequence comes from Homo sapiens, assembly GCF_000001405.40. Lineage (NCBI taxonomy): Eukaryota > Metazoa > Chordata > Mammalia > Primates > Hominidae > Homo > Homo sapiens. Next base: position 8,231,130 of record NC_000024.10, read on the forward strand.
GCATAATTTTTTAAAAGCCAGCATAATTTTAATTTTATTATAGTCATCACCTGCAGACACTGTTTATTTTGGGGAAGTGAATACAGAAATCTGAAAAATCAAAGCCTGATGAGAATACTTAAATTAAGCACACTCCAGATGCCCAAATCTGAAAAGCAAAGGTGTTTCTCATATAACAGCCCAAATTCTGCATTTCTTCTCTATTGGGCAGTGTAATATTGCACATATGAAAAACAAATGGAGCATTAAGTAAAAAATAATGTATTAAGAGGAGTCATTGCTTAGTGAGTGAAAAACGACACACAAATACATTGAGAAGAAAAGGAAGACAGTGATAAAAAATATACTATTGATTTATATCAGAATAATTTTTATTTTGTTTATTGCCATTAAATAGTACCATTACAATAATACAATTTTGTATATTGACTTCTGACATGTGTGTGATTTTTATTTTGTGTATTTGGAAACCTGATCAAGGTTTTTTTAGATATTTCATTTTTTTCCCAAATTTGCTACCTAATAGGTACCTAATGCTAGTTGCCTGAATACCTCTCACTAAGTCGTTTGTCTTTTCCTATTACTTTTAATATGAACTTGGTGTGTATTTCGTTGGCATCTTTACTAAATCTACCGGTGTTGAAGTTGTTCAGAATTCAGTCTTGGATCCTCTTGGGTTTTCTCAAGGCTAAAACACCCTTTCTATGCCGACCATTAAGAAATTGCCAACTTCAGGCCAGATCTTTGTTCTACCTTCAGACTTGGCATATCCAACTGCATGCCTTACATCTCCACATACCAAACCAGACCTTCTTTTCATCCCCAAAACATGTTTCCTCTTACAGTATTCCACTATTTCAGAAATTCACAGCACCAGATACCCTTTATTTCAAGCTAGAAATGTAGAGGATGATCCTTGAGGCAGCCTCTTCTCAATGACTCTTCATCATTTACATCCAACACTTCACAGGTTGTGTGTCCTCTACAAAAATTATATAGTCTTAGTAAATAAAGACGGGCCCCTAAACAACCTTCAATCATCCACTTTTTTTTTTTCAATTCATGTCGTTTTCTTTATGGAACAGCTGGAGTTCTGCAAAGTCAATGTTGGAATAAGTACCATTCTCTGCCAGTATTACTATTTTCTTTATCACGAGATAAATGTTCCTCAAAAATGCCCACACAGGCCGGGCGCGGTGGCTCACGCCTGTAATCCCAGCACTTTGGGAGGCCGAGGCGGGCGGATCACGAGGTCAGAGGATCGAGACCGTCCTGGCTAACACGGTGAAACCCTGTCTCTACTAAAAGATACAAAAAATTAGCCGGGCGTGGTGGCAGGTGCCTGTAGTCCCAGCTACTCCGGAGGCTGAGGCAAGAGAATGGCGCGAACCTGGGAGGTGGAGCTTGCAGTGAGCCGAGATCGCGTCACTGCACTCCAGCCTGGGCGACAGAGCGAGACTCTGTCTCAAAAAAAAAAAAAAAAAAAAAAAAAAAAAAAAAAAAATGCCCACACGAAGCTATACTAAGTAACAAAATTAAATAACGTCTTTCTTTTATAGAAAAGTGTAAGGCAAACAGAATCAATTGTTATTATATGATCTTTATAACTACACACACAGGTACTAGATATTTTAGACCCCACTTCATACATCTGAAATTTGGGTCTCAAAATAGTTAGCTTATCTTAAAGTCTAATGTCATTTTACAGAACTGCCTCTTTCCACAATATTGTGCTATCTCCCTTTAAGAACCAGCTGGGGAATCATTAAGAATAAAAAATGTCATTTTCTTGAACATCTCCAAGGTGAGCCAAAAATCTAAATTTTCTGTGGCGATGTTGTCATGTGCAATTTCACCAAAACTTTTACAAATTTAACCACAGTTATGCCTCAGTGGCCTACCCGTTTATCCAATACCCGCACACCTGCTTTAACACAGAAAAATTTGGAAGTTAATACAAGTATTAACTCTTATCATTATAGACACTGACATCTGAAGATGCTTTCCGATCTTCCATGAATATGTGAAATACAAAATGTCAGTAGTCTCCAAAATGTGAACGTAATCTTAGTAGAAGTGGATCATCTACAGAAGGTAATTTTGCCACAGTGGTCAAATATTTTTGTTAAATACTCCTGTTTTACAGACATGCATAGCATTAACTGACACACAGTGTATAGCTAGAAACATGTTCTTAAGGAAAATGTTCAGAAACAGATTTCTTACTTTTTTGCTAAATTGCAAACTAACAGGTTAATAACTGCTGTGAAGTGCTAGATAGTTGGAGTAGTATTTACCAAGAATGAGAAAGAAGATAGGGGCATATGATTGAGAAGGTGGGAGTGAGGAAAAGAAAAGGTATTTATTCCTGACTCCTCACTTGATGTTGTTTATTTTCATTTTGTTGTTGTTATTGTTTTACTTTATCTTATGTGTCAGACCAGAGTTTCACAAACATCCCCAAATAATTACGTGGGTCATAAAAATATATCCAGATACTTCTCGTTATTTTCCTTCAAAATCCTGGTTCAATCATTTGAAATGAGACCTGGAGAACCAGTAATTCTATCAAGTATGATAAGTGATTGTTACCAAAATGACTATTGTGAAATATTTAGAAAACCATGCAGGAGCTAGGTAATCAACATGTAATAATTGGTTCTTACTGTAGGATAAAGGATTTTATTGAAATGACTATTCAAATTTAGGTTTTATGAAAAAGAAAACTTGAGCACTTTAGTGCTTTCTAATTAGTATGTTTAAAATACCTTTTGCTAAAGTGGCAATTTTTTTTTTTCATTAGAAGTTAGCATTATGGCCACAAATGCCTTCTGAGTTAGCTTTTTGAAAATCTTCAGATCCTAAATTCTAAAAATTATCTTGGGGGTTTATAAAACTCCAGAAAACCACTAAGAAAAATATACATAAAAATACCAGTATCCAAAACATCAAAATAACTCTTACAAGTAGATAAGAAAATATGTAGACAATCTAGCCCAGTAGAAGAAAGCAGGACAGGTAAATAAATCCATTTTAGAAAAGAGGAAAGTCACATGACCAATGAAGAATGGGTAGATGCTTGAGCTCATTAGTAATCTGGGCGTATCAATCAAAACCACATTATGTTCCAACTTTTGTTCATTAGCTTGGCAACAAAATAATAATACCAAGTGTAGTCAAGGGTGTAAGGAATGGTAATTTGGTTCCATCAATCACAGGACTATCTAATGATATTTGGTGAAATTAGGGTGACTAAAACTTTTATTGCTCCAATGGAAACTTTTTTTAGAATAAAGAGTAAAAACATATACAAAATTATTTAATATTTATTATATGATTTCCTTACAGGCAATTTTTTTATTATATCAATGAATCTATAAAATAGTTATCTTCTAACTATTTTTGAAAATTAAATCCCTTCAAAAATTTAAAACCACAATTACATATCTTGAGGCAAAGTAGAAAAATAACTTCTTTATATTTATTATTTAAATATTAAAAATAGTAGGCAGAATAATTATTCTAGAACATATTTATATGAATTAATCTGTTTCTTAACAATAATTATCTGTAGTTCTTTTCTGGAAAATGCATGTGTTTTAATATTATATTGATTTTTAAATAAAGTTACTTGCAAGCTTTTCCAAAGTTGCTTCTTCTTGTCACCAATAAAAGTTATTTTAGCTTTTTAAGTGAAGTTTAAATAAATTTATCATATTCAATGTTTTTTTTCTGGCACAATAATATATCCACAGCTTTATTTTGGACCCAATGATTGATTAAATATTCAAAACACTTTTTAATGTAATTTACCTCTTTGAAACATCTAAATGGCATTATTCAACTCTTGTAATTTCTTCTGGAGCTAATGGAGCTAACATGTTAACAATTACTGATGCATATTTCTTAAGTGTAGGAAAATTGGAATTAAAAATATACACAATTGATTTTAAAAAATTGTAATGTGATGTAAATAAAAAGCCAAGCATCTCGGAATTATATGCTTAATTTTTCCAAATTCACATAATAAACCTGTGAAAATGTCATCTTCAGGCATAGTTTTCTTAATGTAACTAAGTATTACCTTTTGAAATAGCAGCTGCTTTTTCCCCTCAGACCTCTATATTCTGGATTTCGGGATATCACTTTTAGCCTTGTGGTCCCAACATAGACTACCAGACTTTATGATTACACCATGTGTTTATTGACACTTTTCAACCTATAATCTGATTGAAAGGGAAACTGAGTAGTTTAATTAAATATCTACTTGCATTTTTAGGCCATTGCTGCTGAAACAGAGTTTTTTTAAAAATAGTCATTAGCAAACAGGCCATAAGTAAATAGTTGTAGGTATATGAGAGATGACAAAAACACTATGGCCAGACCAATTAACTACTCTCTGTGTGCTCAGCTTCTATTTCCAGCACAAAATTTACATATATGTACCTATTATTTCCTTCATTTTCCCCAAACCCGCCATATGATGACCTGGCAGTGTCACGTAAGTGAGCCACATAGAAAAAAGCAAAACAAAACAAAAAACTACATCAAATACTTCTTCCGTCACCAGGCAAGATTGGAAGAAACTAGCCTTTTCTAGCCAATACTGACTCAGTGCATATTGATTTATTATCAAGCACTCTGCTGCATGCTGTCCTTGAAAAAGAAGCATTATCTATGTTTCGTATAAACTGTGTTAGGAAAATAAAGTTGATTTTCAGACTTATACCCCAAGTCATCATTCTGTTAATATTTTATTTTCTTCACATACTGATAGAGCCTTGACAATGGCTGTAATTATTAAACAAAATGAGCATTTAACAAACACATGCTGGTCCTAATCAATGTAACTTATAATAATACTTCATTAAAAATGAAAAATCTAAGACATATGCTAAGCCAATTAGCATGGATGAACAATAGTTATAAAGTAGTAGCCCTAGAACCTAATGAGAACATTTTATCTCCTCAAAGTTAAAACTGTATGCACACTGTAGTTCAGCCATTCTTCTAGTACATTCATTAGAAACTCTCACACATGTGTACTTAGAGGCATAAGGAAGGTTTTTCATTGTAACATTTCAATAAACACATCATGGAACATGATGGAATTCAGTAGACTGAGAACTATGCCATCAATAATGGCAGCTCTCAACAAGAATGTTAACAAAAAAATGTGAAATAATGCATAGCTTATAATATTCACATAAACATCAAAAACTCACAAAACACCAGTATTGTTTAGAAATAAATATTTTAATAAATTTATGAAAAAATATGAAGGTAATACCAGGTTCATGATAATGGCACCTCTGGAAATGGAGAAAAACAAATGAACCTGATGGGGTGTATTCCAATTGCAACCAAAGGTAATGTAAATAGAACAAGGAATGTATTAATAGCTGTTATTTTTAAGTCAGGTTAAAATGATATTTATTATGTATATATTTTTTAATTTTACTCAAAAACAAAATAATTCTGTAATGAACAATATTCTGTATAAATTGCAATCACCTTGTGAAATAATTGCTTTAAAATTTCCCTGTCTCCATTGCCACTTTCAAGGAATTTAAAAAAAATAAAAATTGGAGAATATGGTGTCTTTCAAAGAAAAACATTTTACATATATAAGTATGAAATAAAATGTATTACCACCACATCACATTTTTGACTCATTATGCATGTAAAAATCATGTAGTGGAAAAAGAGAGAAGAACATAGCCAGAATTTGACCTATGAATAGAGGGAATAATTGTATGTTTATTTAAAATATCTTCTTAGGACATACAGGTGGCCAATAAATATAAGAAAAGTGCTCAACATCACTGATCATCAGAGAAATGCAAATCAAAATCACAAGATACCATCTCATACCAGTCAGAATAACTATTATTATTAAAAAGCCAAAATAAAAAAAAAAATAAGGAAGGTGGGCAAGGCTGCAGAGGAAATTAAATACTTATACACTGGTGAAGAGAATGTTCAGCCACTGTGGAAAGCAGTTTGGGGATTTCTAAAAGAACTAACAATAGAACTACCATTCTACCCAGCAATCCTCTTACTGTGTATATGCTCAAACAAAAATAAATCATGAAAGCTACCAAAAAGACACAAGAATTCTCATATTCATCACCATAGCAAAGACATGGAATCAACCTAGGAGCACATCCATGGAGGGTGGGATAAAGAAATTGTGGTACATATGAACCTGGAATAGAGTACAGCCAAAAAAAAAAGAACAAAATCATGTCCTTTGCAGCAATGTGGATGCAGCTGGAGGTCAATAACCTGAACATATTAATGCAGAAACAGAAAATCAAATATTGAATATTCTCATAAATAGGAGCTAAAACTTGGGTGCACATAGAAATAAAGATGAGAACAATAGACACTGGAGTCTTCAATGGAGGGACAGAGGGAGAGGGGCAGGGGCTGAAAACCTTCCTATTGGATACTAGGTTCACTATCTTGGTGATGGGATCAATAGAAGACTAAATGTCAGCCTCACACAATGTACCTTTGTAACAAGCCTGCACATGTACTCTCTGAATCTATAATAAAAATGGAAATAAAAAATAAAATAAAAATATTATTAAAGGAAATAATGTTACATTTTAGAATTGACATTATTGCAGTCATACATGATTTTAACATGCTGATAAAATCTATATAAGCTTTATGGAAACAGCAAATAGTCTCCTGACTGTCTTTAAAAGTATAAAAGATGGGATAGCCACCTTTATGCAAATTAACTAGACTTCAGTTGCACTAATTAAGAGAGCAACAGCTGAGTCAATCAAATGATAATAGACAAGTTATAATTGATGTCAAAATTCTACGTTGTTATATACTGACTTTGAAATCACATCCCAAGTTGTATTCTACTTTGAGAAACATCACTCTACTAACATATAGAACAAAGATTGATTTTGCAGATTTGCATGATTTCAATGGAGCACATTTCATCTCCAAATATGATAAGCACTTTCCAATGCATAAAACACTGTTAGAAAAAACTGTCAGTCAGGCTAGACACACATTTCAAAGAGGTTTTGAGGTTGCAAATCACTAATTCCTCACACTCGTGTTACCATGATAATGTGAAACACTTACATAGTGTTTCTTATCTTGAAAGAGCCTAGGAACTTTAATTAGTCCTTAGACTAACCAGTGAGAGAGTGATAAGAAGCCTCTTGAAGAGATCATTAAAGTGTATAATTCACACTTGCTTAAATGTAATTCAGCATATGTGCATGTTGTGTTTTCCTAGCTTTCTATTTCAATCTTCAGAGAAATAATATTTATCTGTGAATATATGATGCATAGGCATTTATTATGAATAAAATTATGTAGACCGCACTCTTTCTGCCACTAAAAGCTAACAGATATATGTACATCCAGCACACAGAAAAAACATCTGGTACATTCTGCTGTATTTTCTTTTCTTATTCAATTCATATCTCATCTTCAGGTATTTCAGAATGGACTTCATAGCTTTGAATAGGCTAAAACTTTTTAAATGAGGAATATACAATTCTCTGGTTAAATTTTATAACTACTTTAGTTTTTTGGAAAGTATATTAAAACTAAACATTCATAATTAGGCTGAATATAAAAGAATATCATATGTGAAAGCTTAACCCAAATGAAAGAATATTTAATATTCAATTTATAATTCTGTTCAGCAGGATTTCCTTCTCTGCAGGTACTGGCTACAGGGGTCTACCAAAACAAATCTATTTCTGCAGTGAATACCAACACTGGCTTATTCAGTATTCAGGAAAGATCTCTTTCAATCTGCAAAGCAGAATACAACTTTTCCTTGAGCAGGATAAATTCATATACAGTTTTATTGTTCAACTAAAATTTCAATACAAGTTAATCATTTTCCTTTTTATTACAAAGAAAATCTGGTTACTTTCTAATTACTTGCCCGAAATCTTTTTTCTATAACTATCTAAAATTACATAGACATACACATACGCATAAAAAGAAACAGTACAACTGGAAGACCAACCAATGTGTACATGTGTTCTGTTTTAAAAATCTTTCTACTGTACTATTTGCATTGAAGTTATAGTTGTAATTCAATCAATGACCTATTTTATATGAGTGCCTAGGACATCACTGGAGAAAGTGTGTACAATACAAGAAACTTTATTCATAAATATGTTTATACGGTATAATTAAAAAGGTTAACTTTGTTGTCAAAGGCTGATACTGGCTAAAGTTTTGTTTTTTAATATATTCTTCTTTAATTTTTTCCAGAATGCTTTGAAATACCATTCATATCTTTAATTTCTTCTGGGAATATATGGCCAAAGAAAAATGGAGAAAAACTTTTTTTTTTCCTATAAGTGTATCACCTCTTGAGGGTCAATCTTGTCATAAAAGGAGAGATGCCTCCACTGCTTTTACTTTAGGACCAGACTTTATAGGAATAGATTATAAATGTGAAACTATCTGCCTACTTAAAGCCACTGTTTTGCAGAAAACACTATTGCAGTCTGAGGTTGAACCCAAAGGACTGGCCTTGGGAACTTTGAGACTTTGGTCAACAAATTTCCAAGCTAATTTCTAAAGATGTTCTCCAGTATCAAAGACTGATACTAGCTAAAATTTTGTTTCTTAATATATGTATCTAATTTGTTGTTTTCTATCCTATAAACTCTTTATGCTATATCTAAGACTTGAAATATTTTAAACATTGGTTGTTGGTCTTTAGTGAAGTCGGGTGGGAGGAACCCACACAGTTGCTCTCTGGGGATTTTATCTAAAGAAAGAAGTCAGTAACAGGCAGCTGATTGGTCACGGGGCAGCGGCCAGGTTTTTAGCTGAGACATGTAGAAGTTTCTCAGGAATTCTCAGAAATATTTGAGGGAAATGAAACTGGTTTACCAATGCTCTTTTAAAAAATCAGCTAAAGAACACCCTATAGTGTCCTGAGGAGAAAAAAATGAGCAAGGCAAATAATTTGAGACTGGAAACATACTAGGTGATTGCAGGAGAAAAGAAAATCTCAAGCAGCAGTTTCACATGACTAGGAAAAATACAACGTTAAAGTAGTTGCATAAACTGGAAGCTGTTACGGCTCTGAAAAACCAGAGCGTGGGCAAAGCTAGCTAGCAACAACTGGACACAATATGGTGTTGGATTTGAGCTAGGTTTCACCTTGGAGAATATAGCAAAAAAAAAAAAAAATTACTGCTACTACCATGCAGCTCTTCTACTGTCATGCAGCAGAGCAACTGATCAAAGGCAGCAACTGCCTAACTATGGCTGGTTCACATGTGAAAACTAGAAATATCTGTTTGTTTAATTAATGCTTACTTCTTCTGTTACATTAAGTCCAAAATATTACTTACCGACAGTGTTTCATTTTTCTTCCTTATTCTCCACCATTTATTTTTTTCTCACATTAGTTATACTTTGTAACTTATTTTGTCAAATACATGCAATGAGGTAACACTGCAGTATTGCAGAAAGCACACTGCATTGGAAACAGACTTAAATTTAAAGGGCAAAATGTCCCTTATCCCCCACCGCTGAGCGATCAATGAGGGGAGGTTGTGGGGCTCTGACCGCAGTCAGCATCTAGCGGTGAATGTTTATAGCTCCTGAATCCCTAGCGGGCTTCTGTTACACGGTGATAATTTATTTCCTCCATCTGTAGGCGGCTTCTGTTAGCTCAATTAGACACCCTGCTTTATTGCAGACAGTGGGCTTCATGGATCCCATGGTTTCCTGCCTTGGTGTACCTGAAGAATTGGCTCAAACGTGGGCTTGGAGAATAAGTACAAAGACTCATTGACTGGAAGTTGTCAGCAGATGGATGGGGAGCCAGAAGGGAGATGGAGTGGGAAGGTGGTTTCCCTTGGAATCGGGCAGGTCAGCGCTCTCCCCACACAGCCTCTTGGAGCTCCGTGTTCTTCTGCAGTGGATGGCCTGCCGCCTCAGTCCTTGTGCTCTCCTTCCTGCGGTGTCTTCTTGAGGTCCGGTTGCTGTGGTTTCTGCTGATGGTTCCTCTCGACGTCCAGCTGCTCTGTTTCTGCCTTTTAGGGTCTCGGGGTTTCTTATAGCAGAGGATGGGGGTATGGCAGGGGAGGGTGGTCTTGGAAAATGCAACAAGGGAAAAAAAAAGAAGAAGAAGAAACAGAAGCGCATGTCCTCACCAATTTCGGCAAGAAAACGGAAGTGTGTGTCCTCACTTAGGTCAGTGAACACAGCCTCAAGGTGGCGCCCTAGCCAAGAACCACACCCTCTACCAGGCACTTCCCATCCCCCCTTCCATATCAATATTTTTTTCTTAATTTAAACTCCGAAGATAGTACCCAAATCCTTTAGAGAAGACAATTGGAGAAAATGGCATTAGAAGAGCCAGTCTAAGATTAGGGTCACTACATGGAAAATTGAAACACAGAGAGCATGTCTTGCAGGCGTGGAATCACTGTGGAAACATATCCCCTGCTCAGAAGGAGAGGGACACACACTGGCTTCTCTTGTCTTCTTGTTCTCTAATCTCTGCACTGTCACCCCTTGACTGAGCTGAAACAGAATCTAATTTTTATTTAATACTACTACTACTACTACTACTACTACTACTACTACTATTATTATTGTTATTATTATTATTATTATTAATTTTGAGACAGAGTCTCGCTCTGTCGCCCAGGCTGGAGTGCGGTGGCATGATCTTGGCTCACTGCAAGCTCCGCCTCCCGGGTTCACGCCTTTCTCCTGCCTCAGCTTCCGGAGTAGCTGGGACTACAGGCGCCAGCCACCATGCACGGCTAATTTTTTTGTATTTTCGGTAGAGACGGGATTTCACTGTATTAGCAAGGATGGTCTCAATCTCCTGACCTCGTGATCTGCCCGCCTCGGCCTCCCAAAGTGCTGGGATTATAGGTGTGAGCCACTGTGCCCGGCATACACTTTATTTGTAAGTACATTTATACTGTATACTTAAAATGGTTAACTTTATTGTCAAAGACTGATACTGGCTGAAGTTTTTCTTCTTAATAGATGTGTCCCATTTGTTGCTTTGTATCCTATAAACTCTTTATGCTGTATCTAAGACTTAAAATGTTTCAAACATTGGATGTTAGTCGTTAGTGGAAGTTGGGGGGACTCATGCAGTTGCTGTCTGGGGGATCTCATCTAAAGAAAGAAGTCAATAACAGCTAAGTGGACAGTTGTCCAGTGCCAGGTTTTTAGCTGTGATGTGTGTAAGTTTCTCAGAAATTCTCAGAAGCATTTGATGGAAATGAAACTGGTTTACCAATGCTGTTTTAAAAAAGTCAGCTATTGCAGTATAGGAATGCTTAGTGATTTTTGCACATTGATTTATTAACCTGAGACTTTGCTGAAGTTGCTTATCAGCTTAAGGAGATTTTGGGCCGAGACGATGGGGTTTTCTAAATATGCAATCATGTCATCTGCAGAGAGGGACAATTTTACTTCCTCTTTTCCTAATTGAATACCCTTTATTTCTTCCTCTTTCCCGATTGCCTTGGCCAGAACTTCCAACGCTATGTCGAATAGGAGTGCTGCGAGAGGGCATCCCTGTCTTGTGCCAGTTTTCAAAGGAAATGCTTCCAGTTTTTGCTCATTCAGTTTGATATTGGCAGTGGGTTTGTCATAAATAGCTCTTATTATTTTGAGATACATCCCATCAATACCTAGTTTATTGAGAGTTTTTAGCATGAAAGGCTGTTGACTTTTGACGAAGGCCTTTTCTGCGTCTATTACAGAGAGCCAGATCATGAATGAACTCCCATTCACAATTGCTTCAAAGAGAATAAAATACCTAGGAATCCAGCTTAAAAGGGATGTGAAGTAACTTACAAGAGATGTGAAGGACCTCTTCAGGGAGAACTTCAAACCACTGCTCAGTGAAATAAAAGAGGACAGAAACAAATAGAGGAACATTACATGCTCATGGAGAGGAAGAATCAATATTGTGAAAATGGCCATACTGCCCAAGGTAATTTATAGATTCAATGCCATCCCCATCAAACTACCAACGACTTTCTTCACAGAATTGGAAAAAGCTACCTTAAAGTTCATATGGAACCAAAAAAGAGCCCACATTGCCAAGGAAATCCTAAGCAAAAAGAACAAAGCTCCAGGCATCATGCTACCTGATTTCAAAATATACTACAAGGATACAGTAATCAAAACAGAATGATACTGGTACCAAAACGAAGATATAGACTAATGGAACAGAATAGAGCTCTCAGAAATAATACCACAAATCTACAAGCATCTGATCTTTGACAAGCTTGACAAAAGCAAGAAATGGGGAAAGGATTCCCTATTTAATAAATGATGCTGGGAAAACTGGCTAACCCTCTGTAGAAAGGTGAAACTGGGTCTGTTCCTTACACCTTATACAAAAATTAATTCAAGATGGATTAAAGACTTAAATGTTGTACCTGAAACCATAAAAACTGTAGAGGACAACCTAGGCAATACCATTCAGGCCATAAGCATGGACAAGAACTTCATGACTAAAACACCAAAAGCAATGGCATCAAAAGCCAAGCCAAAATTGACAAATGGGATCTAATTAAACTAAAGAGCTTCTGCACAGCAAAAGAAACTACCATCAGAGTGAACAGGCAACCTACACAGTGGGAGAAAATTTTTACAATCTACCCATCTGACAAAGAGCTAATATCCAGAATCTACAAAGAACTCAAACAAATTTACAAGAAAAAACAACTCCATCAAAAAGTGGGCAAAGGATATGAACAGACACTTCTCAAAAGAAGACATTCATGCAGCCAACAGACACATGAAAACATGCTCATCATCACTGGCCATCAGAGAAATGCAAATCAAAACCACAATGGGATACCATCTCACACCAGTTAGAATGGCGATCATTAAAAAGTCAGGAAACAACAGGTGCTGGAGAGGATGTGGAGAAATAGGAACACTTTTACACTGTTGGTGGGACTGTAACCTAGTTCAACCATTGTGGAAGACAGTGTGGTGATTCCTCAAGGTTCTGTAACTAGAAATACCATTTGACACAGCCATGTCATTACTGGGCATATAACCAAAGGATTATAAATCATGCTGCTATAAAGACACATGCACACATATGTTTACTGCAGCACTATTCACAGTAGCAAAGACTTGGAACCAACCCAAATGTCCATCAATGATAGACTGGATTAAGAAAATGTGGCACATATACACCATGGAATACTATGCAGCCATAAAAATGATGAGTTCATTTCCTTTGTAAGGACATGGATGAAGCTAGAAACCATCATTCTGAGCAAACTATTGCAAGGACAGACAACCAACCATGGCATGTTCTCACTCATAGGTGGGAATTGAACAACAAGAACACTTGGACATAAGGTGGGGAACATAAAACACTGGGGCTTGTCATGGGATGGGGGGAGGGGGGAGGGACAGCAATAGGAGATGTACCTAATGTAAATGACAAGTTAACTGGTGCAGCACACCAACGTGGTACATGTGTACATATGTAACAAACCTGCATGTTGTGCACATGTACCCTAGAACTTAAAGTATATTTTAGAAAATCAGCTAAAGAACATCCTAGAGTGTCCTGAGGAGAAAAAATGAATATGGCACATAATTTGAGATAGGAAAAATACTAGGTGATTGCAGGAGAATAGAAAATCTCAAGCAGCAGTTTCACATGACTAGCAAAAATAAACCATTAAAGTAGCTGTGTAAACTAGAAGCTGATAAGACTTCGAAAAATGAGAGTGTGGGCAAAGGTGGCTGGGAACAATTGTAGCCAACTTGGTGTTGGATTTGAGCTAGGTTTCACCTTAGAGAAAATAGCAAAAAAAAATTGCTGCTACTACCATGCAGATCTGCTACTACCATGCAGCAGAGCAACTGATCAAAGCCAACAACTACCTAACTATGGCTGGTTCTCATGTGAAAAACAGAAATCCCTGTTTGTTTAATTCATGCTTATTTCTTCTGTTATATGAAGTTAAAAAAAAATTCCTTACTGACACAGTGTTTCATTATTCTTCCTTATTCTCCACCATTTATTTTCTTCTCACATTAGTTATACTTTGTAACTTATTTTGTCAACTATATGCCATGAGGTAACACTGCAGTATTGCAGAAAGCACCCTGCATTGGAAACAGACTCATATTGAAACGAGAAAATGTCCCTTATACCCCGCTGGGGAGCGAGCAATGAGGACAGGCTGTGGGGCTCCGACCCCAGGCAGCATCTAGGGGTGAATGCTTACAGCTCCTGAATCCCCAGCGGGCATGTGTTACATGGTGTTAATTTAGTTTCTCCATCTGTAGGTGGCTTGTGTTAGGTCAACTAGACACCCTGCCTTACGGCAAAGACAGAAGGCTTTCTGGATTCCAGGGTTTCCTGCCTTGGTGTACCTGAAGAATTGGCTCACATGTGGGCTTGGAGAATAAGTGCAAGGTTTCATTGACTGGAAGTTGTCAGCAGATGGATGGGGAGCCAGAAGGGAGATTTAGTGGGAAGGTGGTTTTCCCTTGGAATGGGGCAGGTCAGAGGTCTCCTCCCATATCCCTGTGGAACTCCGTGTTCTTCTGCAGTGGATGGGCTGCCGCCTCAGTCCTTGTGCTCTCCTTCCTCCGGTGTCTTCTTGAGGTCCAGTTGCTGTGTCTTCTTCTGCTGATGGTTCCTGTTGATGTCCTGCTGCAGTGCCTCTGCCTGCTAGGGTCTCCGGGTTTCTTATAGCAGAGGATGGGGGTATGGCAGGTGAGGGTGGTCTTGGGAAATGCAACAACTGGGCAAAAACAGAACTGCATGTCCTCACCAATTTGGGCAAGAAAACAGAAGTTTGTGTACTCACCTAGGTCAGTGAGCACAGGCCTGTGGGTGGATCCCTAGCCAAGAACCACACCATCATCTATCAGGCACTTCCCTGCCCCCCTTCCATATCAATATTTTAAAATTTAAAACTCCAAAAATAATACCCAAATCCTTTAGAGAAGACAGTTGGAGAAAATGGCATTAGAAGAGCCAGTCTGGGATTAGGGTCAGTACATGGAAAATGGAAACACAGAGAGCATGTCCTGCAGGCCATAGAATCACTGTGGAAACATACCCCTTGCTGAGAAGAAGAAAGACACAAACTGGCTTCTCTCATCTTCTTGTTCTCTAATATCTGCACTGCCACCCCTTGACTTAACTGAAACCAGAAGTAATTTTTATGGGAGCCTAGGAACCATGCCTCCAAGGGACCAGGTCTCTGTATTATAGAACAGTGTTGGGGAGAGGTGAGTGATGTATCTGTAGGCATACAAACCCAGGACCTGATACAAAGGAGTACCAGAGACAAATATAGTATCAAAGGATCAAGGGAGAAGCAGTCTCAGGAACGTTTCATGCATGATATTTGTGAAAAGACCAAAAAGTAAAACAGAGCTTATGTGGTAGTAAACATAACAAGAACATAAAGAAAAGCAGGCAAAATCATAAAGTTCATATTATTTACCTTCCCTTTATAGGATTTTGAAAATCCCTTCCAGAATCCTTTTCCCAAATATCTTCCATTCATGGATTCATTCAAGAAATATTTATTGAGCTAGTATGGTCTAAGAATTGGGCAGATGACATCATGTGCACTGTTAGTACATCTATCATTGTTAGAAAGAATGTTTCTTTTTGTCTACAGTGTTTCCCTCCCAAACATGCTTCATGCAAATTGGAATCCTTACAGATGGGGTCAATTGTTTCTACCCTAAGAAGTTTCCCAAAAGCCATGTAAACCCAGTTAAGAACTTCCTTCCTCTCCAACTAAGTTACTAAATTGTATCTATTGTAACACTTGTCAGAGTGCATTGCAATTATTGCTCTTCTCTTCATTCTCCAATTTTTAACCGTGACTATTTTGAAGGAAAAGTCTATAAACACAATGGCTTGACATTTGTCAATATTTATGGTAAAAAAGATTATTAGATATTTATATATAATATTCTAACATATTTATCCTAATTTTTGGAAAACAATATAAACAATGTTCACTGCCCATTCCCCATGAACTGCTGAACTTTATGCTTTTAGAGCAATTATACAAACTTGCAAAAAACACCTGAAAGTGTTTTTATTTTGATTTATTTTGTTTTGTTATATTGAATTATTTTGTAGAGACAAAGTATTGTCCCTTGGCCCACGCTGAAGTGCAGTGTGCAATCACAGCTAACTACAACCTTGAACTTCTGAGTAAATAGAACAACAGATGTGTGCCATCATGCCCAATTTAATTAATTAATTAATTAGTTATATTTGTAATAGGTCTTGCTGTGTTGCCTGTGCTGGTCTCAAACTCTGGGCTTGAAAAAACCCTCCCTCCTCAGCCTCCCAAAGAGCTGGGATTCCAGGCATGAGCCACCAGATCTCAAAGAGTAAATTTTAGATTTTAGAATATTGCAATATGTTACACTTAATTTCTTCTTTCAGTTGTGCATTTGCAGTGGCACTTGAGAATAATTATTTCTTATGGTGAGAGTGTGATTACTTATACTGGGTCACCAAATTTAGAAATCTTTATTCTGTTTACTTAAACCCTAATAACAGATAGTCAAGTCAGCTGAAAGTCAAGTATGTGGGTGTTTTTGTTTTGAGGTTATGAAGACAAATGTAGAGAGATATTAAGAACCAAAGATATTTATTTTATATATATGCTAAAGCTTTATCCTTGCAGGTGAGGCATCATACATGGTATGGATAGTTTTATAAAATACCCTGAAATACATACTTTAGTAAGCACGTTAGCACTTGCAATTTCCCAGGTTTGTTTTCATCAGGAGTTAATGATGTATGGCACTTCTAGTAAGTAAGTGAATGTTTAAATTGCTCTGAGTTATTTTAATCATTGCTCAGCTTAACCATTTAAGTTATCAAAGATCTTTATATCATAAATCATAAATGTGCAATATCATAAATGCTACACATTAAAAATTAACATGATTTATGTAACTAAAAGCTGCAATCTAATGTGATAATTTTCAGTAAGATGACAGCAGTAATTATGCTGAAAAATAGTCGTTCCTGTAGTTTGAGCCATTTCCACCTGGGGATTTCTCAGTCATAGACCAGATCTGGGCAACAGTGATTAACGTAATTGTTATTAATTAGAGATTTTGATACATCTAGTTGTGTTTAGATGTCAGTGCCTTGAAGAGAAGGGTTTGGCATATTAACCAGAAAGGGTGCATTGGACGAGATATTAAGAAACATATAGAATTGTTTTTCTTGTCCTCTATAACACAAAAGTTCAGTTAGAGACATAGAAACAATGAAACATTTCACAGCATGGCCTGTCATTTCACTGCACTTTTATTGTTTTAACCTTGTACAAAGTTCACTAAATATGCAAAGATAGGACTGTTATAGGACAAAAGTGGTGGAGTCAGAGGTCACAATCCACAGCAAGTTTATAGTCTCTGGTGGATGACACCCTGAGCTCTGAATTAGAGTGAGAATCAACTTTCAGGCTGCCAACAGGGGACAAGGAGAATGAAGCTATCAGCAGTTAACATATTGGATTAATTGAAATAAATGTTGACAGAGATTTTGTTGGCTTTACATCAAATTGAGTATAGTACTTCAAATTGACTATTTGATAAGGTTAAACTTTTATCAAATTTCCCACATGTACAATTGAGGATTGATTAAAAGATTGCACAACCCATACATTGTGGGCATCTCATTTAAATTTATATACACATATGCAACTTGCAGTGTGCAAATATGTGTCTATATCTAAATATATCTAAATCCATTGATGAACAGTTAGAAATTTAGAAATTATTCTCCTATTTTACCATTCCTTTTCCTAGAATTTTATCACAAATATAATTTTTCCATCTCTTTGAAGCCTACTCTTTGGAGGCACGTAATGTGTGGCTACAGTAAAGCTGTGAGATATCACAGTGTTTGTA
This sequence comes from Homo sapiens, assembly GCF_000001405.40. NCBI lineage: Eukaryota > Metazoa > Chordata > Mammalia > Primates > Hominidae > Homo > Homo sapiens. Next base: position 8,249,067 of record NC_000024.10, read on the forward strand.
TCAGAGAAAACAATAACACTGGTGTTATAAAACCAGTGTTATTTCTCCTTTGTGAGGAGAAAGTTATACATCACATGACTACAAGTACAGAAGTATTATTTCATTGAAAGCTGAAACCAGTCAATACAATTAGTTTTTAATGTTTTATTTAAAATAATTTCAAAAGGATTACTTGAGTAGAATGATGATATTGGCACTAAATAACGTTTAAAATTTTTCTTTAATTTTTTGATTATTTAAGATGTAAGTAAAATACTAAAAAGTACTGTAAAATGTAGTTTCATGATGCATTCTTTATGGTTTTTGTAAAATTAACAGCCTCAATGGAATTTTTTGACACAGAGATTTCATATATCATTTTATCATTATGCTTTCACTTTATTACTTGCTTCTATGTCATAACTGACAGAAATAAAAAATATTTTTATTTACACTGTACAAAGCTTGCATTTTTGTTTATGGTTTCTTGTAAGAGAAAGTCACCAATAATGTTATCTATATAGAAAAATTTTGACAAGCCCCAAATTCTTATCTTTCTTTCCTTTTGAAGTTTCATATTTCAGTCTAAGTATGAGATGGAATTGACTGTGGAATCAAATTCTTTGATTTCACTGTAACTACTGAGTTTGTAATATAGTGTTACAAATGTATAGACTTTAAAGCTTGCCTTCTTTTTCTCATCCTTCTCCTCCTCCTCCTCCTTCTCTTCCTCCTCCTCCTCTTCCCTTTGGACTTGTACATGTGATATCTGCAGTAATGTGCACCATTTCTGAAATAAGGTTGATGAAAGATACAAGCATAAATGAAATGCTTTATTTCTGTGAACCTTTAGGAACAGACAAGTAAAACTGAAAGACATTTATGATATGAATGTAGGTCCACAGTTTCTCACAGAAGTATAAGGGTGAAAATAAATTTTAAAATACATGCCTCATCCAAGACATGAGGTAGAAAAATGAAAAAAAAGAATTTGACATAAAGAACAGTTTAAAAGTTATGATTATTTCTGGTGAGAGAAAGTAGCACTAAAAATCCTATTTTCCCTGTTTTAATTTATGAAACAATTACTGCATCTTAATGGCCATTTCAAACAGTGGGTGTGTCATCTTAGAATTTCTCTGAGACTCTTTTGTGAGAAATATAGTCTAATTTAGCTCTATAAACAATTGAATTAATCAATGAAATTATTATGACTGTAGTCTCACAATTTCATTATCCTTCCCTTTTTGGTTTTTACCTATTCTCTTTAAAATTCAAAAGCCCTATAAAGCATATGATAAATAATAATGACTGAAACAGTTGAAAAATAAAAACTGAGAGCAGACATATTTCAGGGTTTCCTTTATGAGAATGCTACACTAACCATGTGATATACACATGGTATAAGTCACCGTGAGAAAATATTTGTTTAGCACTTGACAGTTTATACAGTGACAGCAAATATTATCATTTGACCTTCAAACAGATTTTCAAACTCATGTTTCATAAATGAGGAAAATGTGACTCAGTAATACAAATCAGAGCTGTTACATTTCTTTAGGAATATGTCAGTCAATAAAGCAAAGGCATGAATTTTCTTCTGGAGGGAAGAGGAAGGCAACATTTATTAAAATATTGAGTGTTTTCTCTCTTTTTTCTTTGTTTTCATCATTTACTAATATTTTGTTTATCAAAATTGTTACATTTCCTGTATTTGCCTGTTACAGCAAATACAGTGTTATCACACTCATTACTCCTCATTTTTCTCTGTGCCTGTAACAACTACACACTCAGAAGAGCAAGGACCATGTTTTTCTGTGCTTCTTGCAGACTGCCAAGGCTTATCGTGGCATTTAGAAACTATCTGCAGAATGTTTGTGACATTTTCATGTAAGTTACATTCTAGGCCACTTGATACTAATTTACTATTCAGTATTTGGGTTTGGAGAGCTATTTTTCCTTTCAAGTTTTTTTTTTTTTTTTGTCTTTTTTTATTATACTTTAAGTTCTGGGGTACATGTGCAGAACGTGCAGGTTTGTTACATAGAGATACTTGTGCCATATTGGTTTGCTGCACCCATCAACTCCTCAATTATATTAGGTATTTCTCCTGATGCTAACCCTCCCTGAGTTCCACTCCCCCTGACCAGCCTTGATGTGTGATGTTCCCTGCCCTGTGTCCACGTGTTCTCATTGTTCAACTCCCACTTATGAGTGAGAATGTGCGATGTTTGGTTTTCTGTCCTTGTGATAGTTTGCTTACTTGATGGTTTCCAGCTTCTTCCATGATCCTGCAATCACAATGAAATACAATCTCATGCCAGTTAGAATGGTGACATTAAAAAGTCAGGAAAAAACAGATACTTGAGAGGATGCAGATAAATAGGAATGCCTTTAAGTTTGTTTTTTTTTTTTTTAAGTATATTTTAAGGATATAATTATACGGACGTGGAGTGGACAGTGCAGGTCGTGGTCAGTGGGACCTCCAAAGGAGGCACCCAGTTCAAATTGGAGGCTCTGCAAGAGAAGGCAGCCAGGGCGTGGAGCACAGAGGCTTTCTTGGGGAAGGAGAAGGTGCTAGTGGTGGACGACATCATGGCGGGTGGTACAGGTGGTAGTTGAGGAGAAGGCTGATATGAAGCGGCAGGTGAAGAGCCTGGTCCTTGCCCGAGCATGCCCCAGCCGGTAACATACTCGCTGGTGGTCCTTCACTTGGCGCTGGGCTCCGTGAATGCCCCAGGCCTCATGGCCTGCCCGCGGCTGAGGTGGAATCTTTGGCAGAGGGTCCTGCCCGGCCTGGACGAGGCTATCTACCAGGGCATCTTCGATTTCTGGGCCAGAGCCATATCCTTGAAGCTGCCCATTTGGGATGACTGGCAGCAGGGGGTGGGCCTCAGGCTTCAGAGGGCGGGGAGCAGGGGACCCAGGCCAGAGGCATACGGGGTCAGCCAGAAGGCAGGGGATGGGGGACAACGAGGGGAGCCGAGGCCAGGCTCCTGTCGATAGTAAGGCAGGTTGCTTGCGGGTGCCCTGGTAGCACGAGGTAGGGACTGGTAGCCAAGCTGCGCACTCACAAGGAAGAATAGCGGCGCCAAGGACCCTTCACGCACAGCAGAAAGTTGAAGGGCACGTTTTCCTGGGAACGTTCTTGGAGGAAGGGGAGTCTGCATGTCCATGCCAGCCAGTGAACCACTCCCACTCCCCATGTCTGTGTCCAGCAGCCTCACCCCAGAAACAAGGTGCTCAAGGTGGGTTCCTGTTGTACTGGGCTGCTGTCCTCTGCAAAGCAGGCACCAGCTCCCCAGACAGGCTTTCTTCCCTCTGCCTCGCTGCACCCAAAGAGCTGTAGGCCCTGAGCATATATAACCTCCGTTGCGCACACGCCTCCGCTGCACACACACGAGCCCCGTGGGGAGCGCCAGGCACAGCGCTGCAGTCCCTTCTACCCACAGCGCTTCCCTCAAGTGGACACGCCCACCCCTCAGGGAGAGCAGGAGAAGAGGGGACCGCACACCTGGACGCTCTCAGCAAAGACTGTCCAGCACCCAGTGCACAAGGGCCACGTGCAGCTCAGGAACTCTGAGGAAACAGCTGCCTCACACCACAGCACCCCACACCAAAATCCCCCGCCTACTTGTGCTCCCCGCTCTTTGTTGGCAGAGGCTTTCTGGGCCTCTCTCCACCCGCCCACAAGACCACCACATCCGCGACTGTGCCCCCAACGCCGGACAGAAACAAGACCACCAGTGGAGGGTGCCATGCCAAAGATCTGGGGAGGTAGCCCTGTCCAACACTCTCCCAGCTCTTGCAAAGTTGCAGAGGAGTCGGGAAGGCTCATGCCTGGCACGGCCACCGAGTCATCTGGAGGCTCCCTGACCAGAGGCAGATTATGCCGCACACCCAGATGTCGGCCGGGTTCAGAAACCATGAGGAAGTCCTGCTAAGTAAGCTACATGATGGATTTGCAGGTCAGCCTGGGAGCCTGGGGGAGGGGTCGAGGTCCTGGTCAGGTTGAGGTCTTCCTAAGGCCCGGGGGTGTCTCAGAGGGAGAGCTGGGAAGGGGAAACGCATGCTTCACTCCAGCCAGCAGGCCCTCAGCACAGCTAAATGAAATGGTCACTTTGAGTCTGTCCTCTTCTTGGCCTGGCAGGTGGAGGAACTCGGCCATCCCAGGTACCGGCAGCAGGATGATTTTCCTTTCATCACAAGCTTTGTTTCTTTAATGAAGTAATCGTTAAGGAGAATCGCATTGGCATCCTCGGTAAGGAGGGCCTCCTGGCATTATTGAGGGGGTGGAGTGTGGGAGGCTAGGCCTGGCATGAGCCTTCCGGACTCCTCTTGCTCTAGGATACAGGGCGTCTGACTCTACCGTAGTCCAGTGGTTCTAGCGTCATTCAGGAGAAGCTCCCAGCTTCAGGCAGGACACAGCCTAACAGCTTCTTCGGCTGGTTGGCTGACCGTGGCTGTGTACCTTTGTGTACCTTGGTTTTAGGGGGCCCACCCTCTTGCCCACAGGAGTGCCTCAAACTCAGCTCTTGAGCTGGCAAGCAGGTCGCCGCCGGCTTTGGTAATCCAGCTTCAGAACCCGTGAAGCCTGCGTGGTAGGGAGACGCAAAGAGTTCTCATGGTTCTCAAAAATGGCAGAGGGAAGAGAGAAAGGATGGCTGGCCAGAGCTACCTAGAGGAGATGTTATTGACCAGAAATGACACAAGGAGAGAAATAAAACCTAGCAGCTGCCTGTGTTTTCATGTGTGTTCGGTCCGGGAAGGCGGACATTCAGAGAAGATGCAATGGAGCCTGCGTTACTTTGGGATTCGCTGTGCGGAAATCTCTGTGCACTAGAGAGTGTCCGGCCCATGAGAGAGGAGGACAGCATGTGGGTTCGGCAGGGCCTGAGTCTCCAGGGAGGCTGGCATTCTCCCCAAGACAGCGCAGGTCTGTAGGTGGAGGAGAAACCCGGGCTGCGGGGTCATCTAGATGGGACACCTATCACTTAGCCAGGTGGGAGCTCAGGAGAGGGCCTGGTGAGCAGCGGCCTAACTGGCCGGTGACATCCCGAACCAGTGCTGCATGTGCGCACAAGAGCTTCGCCCCGAACATCCTCTCCAGGATGCCTCACCTGGGCGGGTAGGAAGCAAGGCATACAATATCCTAAGCTTATGGTCATGAGTGGTCCCAGAGGGGGGTCCCCAGGATCACTTGTCCCAGGAGAGGCAGGCATGCAGGGTCTCTTCAGGACAAGGGTAAAATGCATAAGCCCAGTTCTCCTCCCGGTGAGTGTCTTGCCCTGATGATGTCAGCCATGGCACATACAGTTCTTCCACCTAGATTGCAGATGCACAGGCTTAAGACTTCGCCCCCGCCTTTTCCAGGACGGGCCCCTGGAGTCTGGAACAACCGGTGCCCCACGAGTGTTCCTTCCCAGACTCTAAGCTCACAGGAGGCTCAGTGAGGACTCTCCTCCCAGTATATGGCCACCCACAGGCACTGTCAGCAACCTAGGGCCCTTCTACATTCCGGGGTCCTGCCATCTTACCCAGCAGCAGGATAATGGGAAGGGAAAGAGCTGGAACAGAGCAGAGGCCACAAGCCTCACCCTGATGCATGGCAAGAGAATTGGCGGATCCTTCCCAGCCCAGGGAGCTGCTTCACAAACACACCTGGAAGCCCAGCACAAGCTGAGGGCTTCACTTTGCCACAGCTGGGCATGGGGGATTTCAATGTGTGCTGGAGACCTTGATCCTGGTCACCCTACCAGGTGCACCTCTCCTCCAGGTCACATTATGTGACACCTTCCTTAACCCAGATGGACTCCTTCTCTTCACCACACGATATTAGAACTGTTATTCCTTGTGCCCCACCCTGTTTCAAGGTGCAGAGACTGACCAGCAGACCCCTGAGTCCCTGTCCTCCTCTCCAAATAATATCCATAGAAATAGTAAAAGAGTGGCACATTAGACCCCATGACATTTTTAAGGCTTAGCTCTTTATAAGCATTTCATCCAGATATTTATGAGTTTATCTCATTTATTTTATTGATTTATAGCTCTCATTTCAAAATCAATTTTTGCTTGAGTTATTTCAACATATAACAAAATATTCAGAGCTATGACATATAGGTTTCAAGTTTAAAAGTCTGTATCTGCTATTATGCTGGGGAAAACCCATCCAACACTTATAAAAATAAGTAATTATTAGGCATGGCCACTGTAATTGTCTAAAACACATTTTGAAATTCTTTGCAAATCCATTTGAAAATATTCTTGATGTGACTGAACACAGTGCTTGCTTCTAATGAATGGAAAACAGTGCAACCATTTTCTGGAAACTGAGCCACCTCTGGCCTAGGGTAGAAAATGCAGCTCTGACTAAGTCTCCTGCTCTCATGTGGACAAACCCCTCAGGAGCCCCCCACCAATACATGACGAAGTCTAACACCCTAATAACACTATGCAGAAAGGGCATCCCATGGAGAGACTCATAGAAATAGAACAAGATGCCTAAGGATCTCAGCAGTCCAGCCCCCGATATGTGAGTTATGCTAGCCATGGCACCAGGGAGATGAGAAGACACCTGACAATGTCCTCATCCTGAGCCATCACTAGATTGCATCCTCCTGAGTGCCCCTGAACCACAGTCATTTGGCTGAGAGACTGTGGAAGATTGCAGAGACTGACAGTTAGTAAACTACAATCATTATTTTAAGCCAGTAAGTTTGGATAATTTTGAAAAGCAGTTTAGACACCTAGAAAAACTGAGTTGTCTACTGATTTGAGTAATTGCGGAGAACTTTAAAGGCCAATGTCATGAGTGTTATTACCCTGGAAAGGTCAAACCATCAAGGCTCTTCTAAACACAACAGATATGTAATGTCCCTTTGCTATGGCTGTAGAATAATCTAACATGAATCTGATAGAGGTTTTTGAAAGCCCCTGTTCACATCTCTTGGCTGGGTATGGGTCAACTCTGATCTGGTTTAATTCTAGTCAACTGTAGCAACTCATCTTTCTTTTTAGGTCCTGGCCTACACTGATCTTTTGATCACTGTTTGTGTCTGTGTCTGTGTGTGTATATTTTGCGTGTTACCATATTTTATCCGAAGGGGCTAAATAATAGTACTATAGTTGTTTTTTAAACATAAAGCATTCCAGGAAGACAATATTACTAATCAACTGAGCTTTAGAACAGATATGAGGCAGGGCACGGAGGCTCACACTTGCACTCCCAGCAGTTTGGCAGGCTGAAGTGGGTGGATCTCTTGAAATCAGGAGTTTGAGACAAGCCTGGCCAACATAGCAAGATCCCATGTCTGATATCATACCAAAGCTAGATGGGCATGGTTGCCTATGGATGAAAACCCAGCTACTCCAGAGGCTGATGCAGGATAATCCATTGAACTCCAAGGACAGAGTTTGCAGTGAAGTAAGATTACACCACTGCTCTCCAGTCTGGGCACCAGAGCAAGACTCTGTCTCAGAAATAAAAATAAATAAAATAATAAAAGAGATAGGAGAGATCACTGAGGAGAGAAATGCATAAAACTGGGTGAACATTGTGGCTCATGCCTGAAATCCCAGCATTTTGAGAGGCTGAGGGGAGTGGATCACTTGAGGACAGGAGTTCAGGACCAGACTGAGCAAACATTGTGAAACCCTGGTCTCCACTAAAAATAATAATAAAAAATATTAGCCAAGATTGTTGTCATACGCCTGCAGTTGCAGCTACTTGGGTGGGTGTTACTGGAGAAATTCTTGAACCCAGGATGGGGAGGTTGCAGTGAGCTGAGATTACTCCAATGCACTCCAGCCTAGGTGACAGAGCAGAATTCTGTCTAAAAAAAAAAAAAAAGCGAAAGAGAGATAGAGAAAGGAATGAAAGAAGAAAGAAAGAATGAAAGAAAGAAAGAATGAATGAAAGAAAGGAAGAAAGAAAGAAAGAAAGAAAGAAAGAAAGAAAGAAAGAAAGAAGAGAAGAGAGAGAAGAGAAGAGAAGAGAAGAGAAGAGAAGAGAAGAGAAGAGAAGAGAAGAGAAGAGAAGGGAGAGAGGGAGGGAGGAAGCAAGGAAGGAAAGAAGGAAGGAAGGAAGGAATAAAAGCAAAAGGAAATGAATAAAAAATAATTGACATTTTGCCCATTATCCTCATGAATTTTGACCTATGTTTAAAATAATATTTAGGTCTCTAGTGGACTAACTGAAACTTTAAAATAAGCTGGTATATATTGTCAAAATTACTCATGTAACTATGGTGTTAAGTAAGATTCTTGTAGTTTTCAGCAACCAAATCTAATTGACATTTGTCATCAAATCACATAGCATTAGGGGCAGGGTAGTTTGTGTTATGCTGCCTAATCTACACTAAATTAAAATTAAATCAAATCTGCAAAAGATTTTATAGTTACTATTACCAGTAAAGACTGTTTTGTTTCCTGACTTCTGGAGGGTTTTATTTCCACAGTTTTGATGGCTCTGGCAGAATGCCTTCCTTGTCAAAACTCACCCCTTATCATCACAGTATACATGTGTTCAGAGATCAAGGGGAAACAGCATCCACTCCCACTGCTTTCCTGCATTGGTTCCCATTCACAAGCAAATGTGTGTGTTAGTGACTATCAAATACTCATATATTTGATCAAGGAAATTTGTGTTTCCAAACTATAAAACAAAAATATTACTATCAGTAGTATTTTTATTATTTATTTACTTAGAAGCAGCGTCCTGCTGTGTCACCAGGCTGAATCATATATCACTGCAGTCTCAGACTTTTGGGCTCAGAGGATCCTCCAACATCAGCCTCCCAAAGTACTGAAATTACAGGCTTGAGCCATTTTACCCAGCCTCAAGTTTAGAGATAAAGGGTAATGAAGATACTGTAAACCATATAAATAAACATAATTGCAGGTTCTCTAGAGAGTTGTAAGAAACCTCTGAAAAACTTCCATTGTGGACAAGGCTGCTGGCAACAATGTAATGCAGGCAAAGGAGCGGGTCCTTCCCCAGTGATAATTCAGATGATATGAGAGACCAGCTTGGTATTTCTATTGCAGCATTTTGAGAGAACGTGAAACATAGGTGTGTCCTGTTGTGTGTGTGTGTGTGTAAGCATGTATACATAACCGGTTGAACAAACTAGGATCACTCACACAATGGAATATGATGCAGCTGTTTGTAGATCTGGTAGAAATTATTCTGAATCTATCGGTTCCTGGGCCGTTTTTTATTTTATTTTATTTTATTTTATTTTATTTTATTTTATTTTATTTCATTTTATATTTTATTTTATTTTATTTTTATTTTATTTTTGGCTGGTGGGTTATTTATTACTGATTCCATTTCAGAAATTGAAATTGGAAAGGCTAGAGCTGAGACTGGGTCCACTTAGATTCTGTTGTCGAACAGAATTACAAGGCATGCCTCTAATTTTGTCTGCAGTGGTTACTGGAAGGTCTCTGTACAGATGGGCTAGTTTTCTGCCTGCAGCAGGAGGGCATGGGGCTGAAAATCAGCTCCCTTGGCATCTGCTGTTAAACAGATCATTTAGAGCCTCATCTCTACTAAGAAAGTTGCATGTTGCCCAGAAAGTTTCTCAAAGATTATGTAGTTCCCTGACTAAAGTAGAAGGGCCAGAGCTGAAAGTGGGTCCCCCGCATAGGGGACAGAGGCTGGAGAGTCTAGATACATTTTCTGCTGGACAGAGCCTGGATAGACTACATTCATTGGCTCAGACTGGCATGTTCCCCAGCAGGGTAGTTGCTTCCCAGCAGCAGTGGCAGGAGATGGAGCTGAGACTGGAATTCTCTGTTTCTCAATAAATCATGTGCTTTAGAGATTCTAACGCCCCAGTGATTTCCATTAGGTATATCCGAAGTGAACTTTCTTCCAGGGGTACCAAGCCTTATTACATAAGCTACTTGCCCACTGGGTCCAGGTAGGTCAAGGAACTTCATCCTTAACCACTAAATTGTCTCTATTTTTCAGCCTGGGGAGGGTAGAGTACACAGGGCTAGGATGGTCAAAAGTATGGAAGCTAGCATTAGGTGGGGTCACATGCCGCTTCTGTGGATAATCACCAAGCTGCCTCTTTGTCACAGCCTTGGAAGTTTTGCAGAGAAAACCAGGGTGGGATTTGGAAGTTGGCCAGTGATTTGAGCCTGGCAGATGCATCAACCATGGTTGGTTGCTGCAGAATGATGCTGTTGCCTAGTTTCTCTGGTGGTGCACCTCTGCTGGCTAGAATGCAAAGCCACCAGTAAGATTAGTGTTACAGTCACTGTGAGCCCCATCCCTGTAGTTTGTTTCTAACTGACCCCAGTTGTCTGACACCCCTAATGTTTCCCACAGGGTAAGACTAGAAAGAACATCATGTGAAGAATTGCAAAATGGAAAAGAAATGGCTGATACACTTTCGACTTTCCCCTCTCTGAAGAAACTGAGTCCAGCGAAATTTTTTGTATGCAACACTGTGCTGGCTTGGGGAGGAGAAAAATCATCAAGTTAAAACTGATCTTTTATCCTATGTGTGTGGCTATTCTCAGTTCTACAGTCAAAAAAGGTGTCATAGATTCAATCTGAAGTTACAGAATCATTCACTAAGGTGTCCTTATCTAAGGATAGTTGAATTGAGTTTTTTTTGCGGAGAGGGAGGAAATTAACAGAATCACAGAATGCCTATTCTGCCACATCAGACCCTAGAAACAGACAATTTAAAAGACTGTTACAGGTTGAGCACAGTGGCTCATGCCAGTAATCCCAGCACTTTGGGAGGCTGAGGCAGGCATATCATATGGTCAGGAATTCAATTCCATCCTGGCTAACACAGTGAAATGCCCTCTCTACTAAACATACAAAACAAAAAAAATTATCTGGGCCTGGTGGCATGTGCCTGTCATCTCAGCTACTTCAAAGGTTGAGGCAGGAGGATATCTTGAACCTGGGAGGTGGAGGTTGAAGTGAGCTAAGATTATGCCACTGTACTCCAACCTAGGTGAAGAGTGAGACTCAATCTCAAACAAACAAACAAACAAACAAAAAACATAAAACAACAACAAAATACTAGTCCTGAGGGTGCAGTTTAAAAGGTTGGGGTGCTTTCATGGAGAAGCTGAAAGCTTGGGCAAGCCAAGGGTTGGATTTAAGGGAGAGCTCACAGGACAATTGAAAACCACCTCTTTGTCCTCTGTGGAATGCAGGAAATAGTGAATGCTGATCTCCACTGCTTACTGATACAGGCAAGTTATCAGCCAGACACATATGTCTTGTCTGTTTGTATTCCTATAAAAGAATATGAGGCTGGAAAATTTATAAAGAAAAGATCTTTCACTGGCTCCTGGTTCTGCAGTCTGTAAAAGATGTGTGGTGACAACATCTGCATCTGGTGAAAGCCTCACGAGGCTTCCACCCAGGACAGAAGGTAAAAGGAAAACAGGCATGTGGAGAGAGCAAGAAAGAGAAGGGGAGAAGAAAATCTTTTGAACTAACTATTTGGATGTAAGCTCCATTGTGGGAACAAATACAGTAGACAACTCACTTATTACCCATGGCAAGGGTGCCAAGCCATTTATGAGGCATCCATCCCCATGACACAAACAAACACCTCCCACTAGGTGCCATTTACAGTGTGGAGGACCACATTTCATCCTGAGGCTTGGAGGGACAAATGTCCAAACTATATCAATAGGAAAGTTTAAAAATCATGCAGAGTTATTGTCAAACAATCCTTTTTTCCTCTTTAGAATCCTGGGACTACAAAAAGCTGGGCTTCATTAGCTTCCAGACATTGGCAAGTTAGTATTCAAATTCTTAGGCTGCAACCTGAGAAGTCAGGGCAATAGTTGGGTAGTTTGACTTCTTGGAAGTAAAATTTAGTAGCTCAGTATATTGCTAGAGTGAGTGATGATGAAGACCGATGAGAAATGCCTGTGTGCCTGCTCTCAGAGGACCTTGACAGATCCAAAAGTCAGGAGAATTAGAAGCAAGATAACTGAGCAGAAGCTATAAAAGTCAAGACATGGCCAGGTGCAGTTGCTCATGCCTGTAATCCCAGACCTTTGGGAGACTGAGCCAGGTGGATAACCTGAGGTCAGGAGTTCAAGACCAGCCTGACCAACATAGTGAAACCTTGTGTCTACTAAAAACTACAAAAGCTAGCCTGGCATGGTGATAGGCACCTGTAATCCCAGCTTCTCTGTAGGCTGAGGCAGGTGAATCACTTTAGCCTGGAAGGCAGAGGTTGCAGTGAGCCGAGATTGTGCCATTGCACTGCAGCCTGGGTGACAGAGAAAGACTCTGTCTCAAAAGAAAAAAAAAAAGTCAAGGCGTTAGATGTACAATCTAAGTTTTTTGAGGTACAAAGTGGAAGCTGGGCTTTCTTGACTGCTTGAGATCCAGTAAGCCAGGAGGAAACAGTTTCAGAAGTGCTTGAATATCTATTTAAATCCCTCTTTTATCTTAGAGGTCCTAGGAGAGTTATGAATGCCAATCTGTGTTAGAATCCAGAGAATGGCAAGTTAGGAATCATTTCATTGAGAAGGAGCTGTAACAGTTGGGGCATTACATATGTGGTTTAATATTTCAGTTCTCTGAGAGAAGCTGTGAAATAACAGATACCTATTGATTCTAGGGCACTGGGTCAGACATAAACTATAGAACAAGATCATGATTCAGTTTTTCTTACCTCTTTTTAAGTGAGTAATTTTATAGTCATATGTGCAAGAGTATCTCAACTAGTTTGTGAGTTTATCTCATAGGGAATTGATGTTGGCATGGCTTTTTATTTGTTGCATTTGTAGATGGAGGAACAAATTAGAGCCTCCTATTTTACCATGTTTTTGGAGATACATTTTTATTAATTTTTTACTTATTTAAAAAAATTTGTACATAACAGTTGTAGATACTTTTGGCATACATGTGATATTTTGATACAAGCAATATGTACTGGTAAAGAAGAGATCAAACAGGGATGGGGTGGGTTAAATTATAGTTGCTTAGGAGGAATAAGATCTAGTGTTAAGAAGCACAGAATGACTACACTTAATAATGATTTATGGTACATCTCAAAAGAATTAAAAGAGCAAAGGTGGAATGTCACTCATACCAAGAAATGACATGCCAGACTCAGTGGCTCAGGGCTATAATCATAACAATTTGGGAGGCCAAGGAGGGAGGATCACATAAGCCTTGGAGTTTGAGACCAAACTGAACAATATATCCAAAGCATTGTCTCTACCACACACACACAAACACAAAAGCTGGGCATGGTGGTGTGTGTTTGTAATTCCATCTTCTTGGGAGGTTGAAATGGAAGGCTCATGCATTTGAACCCAGGAATTCAAGGTTGCAGTGAGCTACCATGGTGCCACTGCTGTCCAGGCTGGACAACAGAATGAGACCCTGTCTCTAAAAAGAAAAAAGACATTACAAGTGTTCGAACTGAAGGATACCCTATTTATTTATTATTTATATATTTGCTGATTTATATAATTATTTTTGAGTTGGAGTCTTGCTCTGTCACCCAGGCTAGAGTGCATGGTGCAATATCAGCTCACTGAAGCCTCAGTCTCCCAGGTTCAAATGATTCTCTTGCCTGAACCTCCCAATTAACTGTAACCTACCACAGGTGTGTGCCACCATGCCCGGCTAACTTTTGTATTTTTGGTAGAGATGGGGTTTCATGGTCTTGGCCAGCCTGGTCTTGAACTCCTGACCTAAAGTGATCTGCAAGCCTTGGCTTCCCAAAGTGCTGGAATTGAAGACCTGAGCCATTATACCTGGACAGCAAGATACACAACACTAGGGAGTTTTATCTTTTCACTTCATCCTCACAATCCTACATTATAGGTGAATGAAAACACAACTTCATAACATGAATAACTCACTTGAAAATAAAAGTTGGTAACTTCTCCCTTTAAAATTATTTCCATCCTTACACTATAAAAATTGATGATCTTGTCAAAATCTTATCAAGAAAACACTTCCTCCTTACAGATTAGTCTGTTAATTGTAAGAATTATGGACTGTAAAACTTCTGGAACTTCATGTATTTCACTTCTGTCAGTTGTATAATCAGGAAAATTAATTGCTTTAGTTATTTAGGTCCAAATCTTTTTATTTTTATCATTCAATGATGCCTTAAGCCTTTAAGCAATCCCCTGTCTGAAACTTTATGCTGTTGTTTTATGTTTTATACACTTCTCTTCCCAAAAGTATGAGGCTTAAAGTGCTTCCATTTATATCATTTATTAAATCTGATAGGCTGAGAGCTCATGCCTGTAATCTTAGAACTTTGGGAGTCTGAGGAGGGTGGATCAGGATTTTAAGAACAGCTTGGCAAATATGGTGAAATGCTGTCTGTACTAAAAATACAAAAAATTAACCAGCTGTGGTGCATACACATCTAATACCAGTTACTCAGGATGCTGAGGCAGGAGATAGCTTGGACCCAGAAGGCGGAAATTTCAGTAAGCCAGCATGGAACCACTGCACCCCAGCTTGGGTGACAAAGCTACACTCCATCTCAAAAAAAATTGATAAAATCCCAACCATTCTAGATTATTCCTATTTGTACGAACTTATTACTAAACCATGACTTACAACAACCATTGTCAAAACTTTCAAGAAAAAATTAACATGAGTACCTCCCAAGGCAAAACACTTACTTTCCACTATTTAAACTAGGAACATTTAATTTCATTATGCTATGCACTTGAGAAACAGCTGGTTCAATTTTGATTTATGTTAAAAAAAGAGTTTTTCATTACAATTATCCCCCTTCAGTCACAGAATGCTTCAAATAGAATGTTTCAGATGTCTTAAACTTTAGTATTGACCATATTTAATTATTTCTTTGACTTGTACTATTCCTCTAAAAGATAAATGTTGTATGGTGAGGCAGACAGTTTTGTAGTCTTTCTGAACACTACTCAAACATTTTAAGCTTGTAAGTTTTTAAGGAGAAACAGCCTAATTAGAAAACTTGTGCAGCTTGTAAGGGAGATGTAACATATGCCTAATTTTGTATCTACTTATGTTCAAAGAAACAAAGGAAAATGTTCAACAAACAACACAATTTACTTTCCTATTGAATTTGCTTTTAAACATAGGTAGCTAAGCAATAACATCAGGCATTTTGCATCACATGTAAAATTTTATTTTGAAAATTTTAATGTCGATATTACATCTAAACAGATAGTTTTCAAATAGCATTAGCAAGTATTAAATTACTTTGAAAAAATTCATTTTCCTTTGAATACCTCAAAAAATTCATGGAGCAAGTTAGTATCTACCTATCTCCACAAAACCAACATTTTTCTTTAAGTGGTACACAGGTAACAATGCAGAAATAACATTTCAATTTTCAATTTGCAAACAAGATTTGGTATGCAATACCTATTATTTTGAATATTTGCTTTAATACCTGCTTCGGTCTCCTTTTTCAGATCGACTTTCCCCATCATCTCCTGTAGATGCCACATATCTTGAGCTACCATATGCTTCACGAGGAGCAGGGTGCACCCTATCCAGAGAAGGTGGATTCCTTTGGTCTTTTCTGCCAATGTGCTCACGACCACAGGAATAAAAATCACCACAGCTCCTTGAGTAACTCTCACGACTTCTGCCATATCTATCTCATGTATTGTTAGACATGTTAAAATCAAAATCATGGTAGCTGCTTCCACCATAAGACATCTGAGGCCTTTGTGCAGGTGGTGCACCATGAGAGGTCCCGGAATGGTTGATAAAATAATACACTGGATTACATTTAAACACTTTGACTGCTATCACTAAAGCATGAATTAGTTAAAGTACTATTTGGAAATATCTACTTTCCTCTCCTTTTTTTGACAGAATATTAATTATGCCTGCAACAGTCACAATGTTTTATTTGAAAGAATTGTAAGAGTAGTTTTTGAAGCTTAACAAATTTCATTCTAAAGTCAATGTTGAGTCACATTTTCTGAATGTGAACTGAAGTTCTCACCTTCATACTGTTCCCTATGCTTTATACTGTTAAGAATACTCAATATTTAAACATGTTATATTTGTCCTTTATAATTTTCCTTAGAATTTCATTAAAATAATTATCTGGTCTATAAATATTATTCTATAATTTACAAATCCATGCTGGACTCTTACCATATCTCTGAAATGCATCCTGTAAGAACTTCCACCTTGGTGTTCAGAATGATCTCTACCACAAGCCTCACCATAGCCATCATAAAAAAAAAGTTTTCTTAATGTCGGAATGAACCATTTAAGAAATCTATCTGATAAATCCAGAAAATGTTATAGTACCTATATCCTCTAGAGTAATGTTCATCCCAACTAGAATGACCATAATCACAGTATGTATAGCCTCTAGGTGGTGGAGCATAATCCCTGGTTTCTGGGGAAATTCACTGATTTCTGTGTGCATAAGTTTAAGCAACAAATTTAAAATTTTCAACTTCTAGTATCCAAAACATAACTAACTTAAAACTTAAAAAAATTAAAGGGCCAAACATCTAAATAGATATTTCTCCAATAAAATAGGCCAATGCCCAAAAAGCTCATGCAACAGGTACTCATAATCAGTGATTCAGAAAATGCATTTCAAATCCATAATGAGGTACCATACTTCACATACACACTGGAATAGAAATACATTTTAAAGAGCTGGAAATAACAAGTGTTTGAGAGGATGTAGATAAATCAGAACCCTGATACAATGCTAGTTGGAATGGAAAATGAAGCAGCTACCATGGAGAAATGTGGTGGTTCCTTAAGGAAATATAATTACCATAGGACCAAGGAATTCCACTCTTACATACACAAAGAATTGAATAAGTGTGCTCAAGCAAATATTGGTGCAAAGAAATACTGTGGTGGAAACAACCCAAATAAAATAATAGGTTAACAGGTTGTGGGAGGAGTGAAGTGCTACCATGTAAATGAACCTTCAGGATGTCAAGCTAAAGGAAAGGAGACAGATACAAAAAGTCATGTATTGTTTGAGCCCATTAACACTAAATGCCCACAACAGGTAAGTTCAGAGGCAGAACACTGATTGGTGTTTGATAGCAGCTGAGGGAAGGGAGAGAATGAAAGGGACTGCTTAACTGGTAGTTGGAGTTTTAGTTTGGAGGAATGAAAATGTTTTGAAACTCAATGGAGGTAGTGCACAACACAGAATGTATTTAACGCCACTTAACTGTTTATCTTATAATTTTAATTTTGTTATGTGGATTTCATCACTACAACAAAAAAATCAACTATTTTTTTTCCTTTTTCCTTTACCTATCCTTACTAGCATAACTATCATTTCTTGGTGACCTATGGTCATTTCTCCAAGAAGAGATGGGCTCTCTGAGTGGAGGACCTGTATAATTCTCTCTTCCACATGATATGGGCCTTTTAATATTAAAATAATGGAACATTATGTAATGAACACCAAATCTGAAAGACTATTTTTTCTCCTCTCAAACAACTTTTAAAATTATTTCTTCTATGACTTCATTATTTGTTCCCAAAATTACTAGACAGTCACGACACTGTGAATATTTCTTATGGCTTTGGATAAGCCCACAAGGCCAGTTCTTCTAAAAAAGCTGAAACCAAATGTTAATTCTTTGGTAAAAGTTCATTAGTAATAGTTAATAATTACTTAGTTATTATTTTCATTTTTATATAAATTACTGATGACTACTAATGACACAGGGAAAACATATAAAACCATCAAATTCTTCACTGATTTTAAAGTTTACATACATTGTCCTTTCTCAGCTGAAGAAGGTGAATTTTCCCATGCTGTTCAATCCATCTCACACATACAAATACTGTTACCTTTGAATGACTGCATGCTAAATTTTTACATAAAAGTTCCCCTTTATATCTAAGTGGTTGGCTGTATATTAAATGTTGACAAATTAAAATGTACTACTGAAGATTTTCTAATGATGGCCAAGATTTACTTTTACTGCAATAAGCAATACTTTTAAAGGGGTCATTACAACATTGTTGCTATTTCAAAATAGAAAAGGTTCTCTTTTAATACTCTCTTCACATGCTATTCCTTAGAGGTCAGTCTTTCATCTATGATATGTTCACTGGCTAATTTTCCATGAAAATGTATTTTCTTGTGCATCCTGCAGTCAATAAATATCTAACTTCACCAATACTCCACATATGAAATATAAAATTGAAAATGTCAATTTTCAATTTCCTCCATATGAGGATAGAGGACTAAGTAAGAATTTAAATTTGTTCTGCTTAAACTTCTTTGCTAAGAACTTTTATTTATTGTCTTGCTTTCTTCTGTATAGTCTGCAATCTTACAATTCTCCTTCTCAAAAATGAGAAGAATCAAATAGACGCAATAAAAAATGATAAAGGGGATATCACCACCAATCCTACAGAAATAGAAACTACCATCAGAGAATACTATAAACACCTCTATGCGAATAAACTAGAAAATCTAGAAGAAATGGATAAACTCCTCGACACATACACCCTCCCAAGAGTAAACCAGGAAGATATTGAATCTCTGAATAGGCCAATAACAAGCTCTGAAATTGAGGCAATAATTAATAGCTTAAAAACCAAAAAAATGCCAGGACCTGATGGATTCACAGCTGAATTCTACCAGAGATACAAGGAAGAGCTGGTACCATTCCTTTTGAAATTACTCCAATCAATAGAAAAAGAGGGAACCCTCCCTAACTCATTTTATAAGGGCAGCATCATCCTGATACCAAAGCCTGGCAGAGAAACAACAAAAAAGAGAATTTTAGACCACTATCCCTGATGAGCATCGATGTAAAAATCCTCAATAAAATATGGGCAAACTGATTCCAGCAGCACATCAAAAAGCTTATCCCCCATGATCAAGTGGACTTCATCCATGGGATGCAAGGCTGGTTCAACATACGCAAATCAATAAACATGATCCAGCATGTAAACAGAACCAATGAAAAAACCACATGATTATCTCAATAGATGCCGAAAAGGGCTTTGACAAAATTCAACAGCCCTTCATGCTAAAAACTCTCAATAAATTAGGTATTGATGGGATGTATCTCAAAATAATAAGAGCTATCTATGACAAACCCACAGCCAATATCATACTGAATGGGCAAAAACTGGAAACATTCCCTTTGAAAACTGGCATGAGACAGGGATGCCCTCTCTCACCACTCCTATTCAACATAGTGTTGGAAGTTCTGGCCAGGGCAATCAGGCAGAAGAAGGAAACAAAGGGTATTCATTTAGGAAAAGAAGAAGTCAAATTGTCGCTGTTTGCAAATTACATGATTGTATGTCTAGAAAACCCCATCATCTCAGCCCAACATCACCTTAAGCTGATAGATAACTTCAGCAAAGTCTCAGGATGCAAAATCAATGTGCAAAAATCACAAGCATTCTTATGCACTAATAACAGACAAACAGAGAGCCAAATCATGAGTGAATTTCCATTCACGATTGCTTCAAAGAGAATAAAATACCTAGGAATCCAACTTACAAGGGACGTGGAGGACCTCTTCAAGGAGAACTGCAAATGAAATAAAAGGGGACACAAACAAATGGAAGAACATTCCATACTCATTGGTAGGAGGAATCAATATCATGAAAATGGCCATACTGCCCAAGGTAATTTATAGATTCAATGCCATCCCCATCAAACTACCAATAACTTTCTTCACAGAATTGGAAAAAACTACTTTAAATTTTATACGGAACCAAAAAAGAGACCACATTGCTAAGTCAATCCTAAGCCAAAAGAACAAAGCTGGAGGCATCACGCTATCTGACTTCAAACTATACTACAAGGCTACAGTAACCAAAACAGGATGGTACTGGTACCAAAACAGAGATATAGATCAATGGAACAGAACAGAGCCCTCAGAAATAATGCCACGTATCTACAACCATCTGATCTTTGACAAACCTGACAAAACAAGCAATGGGGAAAGGATTCCCTATTTAATAAATGGTGCTGGGAAAACTGGCTAGCCACATGTAGAAAGCTGCAATTGGATCCCTTCCTTACACCTCATACAAAAATTAATTCAAGATGGATTAAAGACTTAAATGTTAGACCTGAAACCATAAAGACCCTGGAAGAAAACCTAGACAATACCATTCAGGACATAGACATGGGCAAGGACTTCATGTCTAAGACACCAAAAATGATGGCAACAAAAGCTAAAATTGACAAATGGGATCTAATTAAACTAAAGAGCTTCTGCACAGCAAAAGAAACTACCATCAGAATGGACAGGCAACCTAAAGAATGGGAGAAAATTTTTGCAATCTACTTACCTGACAAAGGGCTAATAACCAGAATCTACAATGAACTCAATCAAATTTACAAGAAAAAAACAAACAACCCCATCAAAAAGTGGGCGAATAATATGAACAGACACTTCTCAAAAGAACACATTTACGCAGGCAACAGACACATGAAAAAATGCTCATCACTGGCCATCAGAGAAATGCAAATCAAAACCACAATGAGATACCATCTCACACCAGTTAGAATGGAGATCATTAAAAAGTCAGGAAACAACAGGTGCTGGAGAGGATGTGGAGAAATAGGAACACTTTTACACTGTTGGTGGGATTGTAAACTAGTTCAACCATTGTAGAAGTCAGTGTGGTGATTCCTCAGGGATCTAGAACTAGAAATACCATTTGTCCCAGCAATCCAATTACTGGGTATATACCCAAAGGATTATAAATCATGCTGCTATAAAGACACATGCACAGGTATATTTATTTTGTCACTATTCACAATAGCAAAGACTTGGAACCAAGCCAAATGTCCAACAGTGATAGACCAGATTAAGAAAATGTGGCACATATACACCATAGAATACTATGCAGCCACAAAAAATGATGAGTTCATGTCCTTTGTAGGGACATGGATGAAGCTGGAAACCATCATTCTCAGCAAACTATCACAAGTACAAAAAACCAAACACTGCATGTTCTCACTCATAGGTGGGAATTTAACAATGAGAACACATGGTCACAGGAAGGGGAACATCACACACTGGGGCCTGTTGTGGGGAAGGATAGCATTAGGAGATATACCTAATGTTAAATGTTGAGTTAATGGGTGCAGCACACCAACATGGCACATATATACATTTGTAACAAACCTGCACATTGTGCACATGTACCCTAAAACTTAAAGTATAATATAACAAAATTTAAAAAAAATTACTTCTATTCAATCCTACTGCTCACCTCAAGTTGCTTAGTTCTAAATTCTCTGCTCAAATAATTTCAAATCTTACACTAGGGATCTTGTGTTAACATTTAAACATCCCTGTACCATCTTAATAATTGATTTATATCCATTTATATTTCACAACTCTGCACTTTTGTGATATCCACTTAAGAAAATTGGATGGCTTCATGTCTAGATTTCAAGTCTTAAATTTATTTTTAAATAATATTTAAGCCCAATGCCTCCTTTTCTGCTAAATATTCTTGTATTTCTTTTGAATTCTCATATAAGCAGTAAGAGTGCCTTGCACGTAAGCATTATTGAGGTCTCAGAAGCTGGATGGCCAGGCTCAGCAGTTCACACTGTGAGCCAGTGTGGAAGGCTGAGGCAGATGGACTGCTGGAGCCCTGGGTCTTAATGTTAGTTTTGACAATGTAGTAAGATTCTCTCCCAACAAAAATATAGGAAAATAATTTAGCTATGTGTGTTGGTGCATGCCTGTAGTTGCAGCAACTCAGGAGGCTGAAACAGGATAACTGCTTGAACCCAGGAATTTGAGGCTCTAGTAAGCCATATTCTCACCAATGCACTTTGACCTGTAAGAGCAAGACTCCAACCCATCAAAGAAACTGAACAAGTACGTTTAGATTGGCACACCGGGGACCACTACCAGGAGACCTAGGAAATGGAATAATTCATTAGATGAGGAAGCATACCATGAAAAAATACTGCTAGGAACTTACAGAAAAATTAGGGGGAATTCTCTAGCAAACACAAGAATATAAGGAATGTTGGCCTCACTCTAGTCACTTCTTTGATCTGCAATGAGAAGCTCGAGTATTTCTTAACCTGAAGAAATACAGAAATGTATCTAGGGTGAAAGAAACTATAAGAAAAGCTATCAACCAGTAATTATGCCTGTGTTTGTGTCACTTCTATTTTATTCGATGAACTTAAAACTAAGCCTCCAGTTAAAATAGCTCATTTTCAGTCCTACAAAATCTATGGTCTTTCTATCAGGTAGCATTTGTCTTGGCCTCCCATACAACTATTGCTTCTTACGACAGCAGAAGAGATTTTCTAGGAGGAGGACCTCCACTTCCTAAAGATGGACCTCTTTTAACTGGAAAGGTTTCCCTATAAGAATTCATATTGAGATCAAGCATGTAATTTGATCTCATCTGTATTTCAAACAAAATATTTTAGTTAACTAACATCACTGTTTCTTAAATGGCTAAGTTTCAGTTGTTTATAAAGTTTTCTGCCCATTATAATCTTACAAATTCACATTTCTCTAAACTAATAAAATTAACATTTCTATATGAAGTTAGTACAATTCAAGTAATAAGAATCCTTCTAGAAAATCTAGAAAGAAACTCAAGAATCATAATATGTTGCTGTGAAAGGGAGATGTGGGAAAAGTGGGGAGTAAACGGGGAGCAGAAATCTATCAGTAAAATATCTAAGTATAATATACATAAAGAAAAAATTTTAAAAGAAAAATGATAAATGAGAGTTTATATCATTCTGTTAGGAAAAATTTTCCAAGCATATCGTAAAGATAAACTAAATTCCATTTAAAGAAACTCAAATATTTACAATATCAAAAAGTGACACATCAGGAAAATAGATGATATCTAAAATTTGTTAACATAACATAGAAGTCTTAAAATTCACTTGTGAAACACTAATTTTCAGATTAGACTATGCTAAATTTTCATAATCTTTAAGAATTGCATATTAAATCCTATAAAATATATCTTTATATATCTACAAAAAATGTAGATATATGCCAATTGCCAGGTGGTGTTATAGGTTAGAATATGAAAATTCTCACACATGGCAGAGTATTATTGAATGTCACCCTCAAGATCAATGGAGACAAAATAACCATGAAGCTATGCATCTGAAAATTGAGCAAACACTGCAGTTTCAACTTAAAAAAAAACTTCACTTAATTACACATCTGGTTATTAAAATTTGAAATTAAATGATAGATTTTTGATGGTTGGTTAATAGATAATACAAGTTAACCAATAAGTTTATTTATGTATTTATTGATTTATTCATTCATTCATTATTTATTTATTTAGATGGACTCTTGCCCTATCGCCCAGACTGGAGTGCAATGGAGTGATCTCGGCTCACTGCAGCGTCTACCTCCCCGGTTCCAGCGATTCTCCTGCCTCACTCTCCTGAGTAGCTGGGATTACAGGTGTATACCACCATGCCAGGCTAATTTTTTGGATCTTTAGGGGAGACAGGTTTCACCATGGTGGCTAGGCTGGTCTGGAACTCCTGACCTCGTGGTCCACCCACCCTATCCTCCCCAAGTGCTGAGATGACAGGTGTGAGCCACCTTGCCCAGGCCATCCAATAGTTTTTTTCTTTTTTCTTTTTAGATACACGGTTAGTTTTTCTTTCTTATGTAAAAATTGACCCCTCATTTCCATTGTGTAAATCACTCATAAATATCATTTTCTGTGACTCATCCTCCAGCAAAGAAAGATACATACATATCTGTGAAGCAATGGTTTTTTACCTTTCCAGAGTCACAGACTGTTTTCAGAAATTAAAGATCTGCATTTTTTAAATTGAAAATGCTTTATGGCAGGCCAATGTACAAACTCTCCATATTAAAATCGCAAAGCAATAGATTTGCACAGATGTTTGCACATGTATACACAAAAAAACAAATATTGCAAAATCAATCTTAAGTACTGAGTTACTTTTTTCCTTTTGGAAAGTTTTAAATATTCCATCGTACTTTGATAATACAAATGATACGAAGTTCCAGGCCCCAAAGTAGAAAACTCTAATGTATAATGAATATAAATGAGTTCTTCAGAAAACCTGTTGAGTACAGGCAATCAGCATTCATAAACTCAATTTAGTTTGAAATGTGTGTTACTTCAATGCAAACTTATTACAATTTTAAAACAAATTTTAGATATTAGTCCAATCATTCTTATAATACACCTTTAATACTTAGAAATAATTTTGGTGATTATCAATAAGTTAATTTTCTGTTCATAAAGGAAATAAATAAAATTGGGAAATTTTGATATCTTCAAGTGTATTTTCTTTCAGTCCTATGGTTCTATCTTTATATTTTAAAACATTACCCAGGTGTCCTTCATGTGAGGGAAGCCACCCTCCTGTTCCTCCACTGCTTCCTCTTGCAGATCTCAGACTTCCTGAAGGGCTTCTGTTTCTCAAAGAAGCTGGTGGTCTTCACCTACCACCACTTTGAAAAGATGGTTTCTTGGCTTGTTCTACTTTTATTGCTTTTCCATCCAAAGACTAGAAGTATTAAGGGTACTATCAATAACATTGACACATTTAATCTAAGCACATTTTACAAATATTTTTACGTCGACTATAGTTCAATTCAAGATATTTTCTCCCAAAGAAAACTTTTTTTTTTCTCCTAAAATGAACACGTCTTTCCCAATGCCAAATTTGAGACATTGACTGAGTACATGCCTTCCATTAAGGGACCAATCACAAATTATATTATTCAAATTCCTTGAAAACTCCTGGATTATTAAAAAGAATAACACCTCAGACAAAAAAGATTAACCCATCACACATTCCATAGAACAATGTGGCATATCTGTTTTTTACAATATATAATCCACTTCTTTGTATTCACATCACTGATATAAAAGTTTCAGTGTCCCAAAGGTGTATGATAGGATGTGTCATTTAAAAAAAAATAAGGTTACTTACTCACAGTGATTAGTCACATTAGTGATTATGAGTAATTTCCTCTTTGATCTGCTAACACTTACATAAAGTGTCCCTATATGATTTACAATTCTATACTTACTGTAAAAATGTCTCTGTAATTGTGATACTTGTTTGATCTCATCAAGGTTTCTTGCCTTATTCATTTCTTATTTTGCCTTAGACATGTCCCTAAAAATGACTCTTAATATAGTACTTCATAAAATTTCTCAGAAATGCTTAAATGTCCTAATTAATTTCGCAATAACATTTTTCAGTGTAATCTTTTCTACAGGCCAAAGTAATTTTTGAAAACAGTTCAGTTAATAACTCAATTTAAAAATTATATGGCTTTTGTTATTTAGGGGAAGATCTTAAACCCCTCACAAGACCCCTTGCAGCCACATCGCCAATTGTTCCTACCTTGAAACTTCTTTTGTTATTTCTGGTCCCAAAATATTTTCCCCAGATTTGTGCATGGCTGCTTCCTTCTCAGTGTTCGGAAGTCAGCCAAATTCCTTAAACTGTTCATTCTCCCTGAAAACTCCAAGAACCCCCTTTATTGGCTGTCTTAACATTTATGTGCATATAACAATCATATTTATTTTTACACAGTAAAATATGTGAGATGAGGTAATTTAGAAATAACATTGGCCAGGCACTGTGGGTCATGCCTGTAATCTCAACACTTTGGGAGTCTGAGGCGGGCAGATCATGATGTGAAGAGATAGAGACCATCCTGGCCAATAGGGTGAAATCCCTTCTCTACTCAAAATACAAAAATTAGCTGGGTGTGGTGGCACATGCCTGTAGTCCCTGCTACTCGGGAGGCTGAGGCAGGAGAATCACTTGAACCCAGGAGGCAGAGGTTACAGTGAGCCAAGATCACTACACTGCAATCCAGCCTGGCGATACAGCAAGACTTCGTCTTAAAAAACAAAAATAAACAAACAAATACTCTACACAAATTACCTGCTCTTGTTGTTGAAAACTAGGGGGAAAAAGAAGTTATCCTTGATTACTAAACATAAGTCAAAATTATCTCCATACCTACCACAAAGCCATGAATCAAAAGCTACTCTCGCTTTCTATCACAGCTTAAAATACTAATTCATAAGAGTGAATAAAAATATACTTTCTGCTATGTGCCAGGAAGTGTGATAGATGTAACAGAAATAAAAACAACTAGGAAGACTTAAATATGCACTATAGACAATTTCACAATCAATAGATTAATACATGGTACAGTGAGTATATTATATACCGACGATATTCAATGAGGAAGAAAATATGAAATCTAAGTTGTTCTTCAAGCATAAATTGTTATTTGTGAGACATACACGGGGAAGGATAATTCTCAAAAAGCATTTTGGAGATAGTGTAAAGAGTAACAGGAGCTACAGATTGGGATAATGTTATTTATTATTTTTTATTTATTTTTTGTTTGAGATGGAGTCTCCCTCTGTCACCAGCCTGGAGTGCAATGGCATGATCTCGGCTCACTACAACTTCTGCCTCCTGGGTTCAAATGATTCCCCTGCCTCAGCCTACCCAAATAGCTGTAACTACAGACACACACCACCATAGCTGACTAATCATTTGTATTTTAGTAGAGATGGGGTTTCACCATGTTGGCTAGGATGGTTTTGATCTCCTGACCTCATGATCTGCTCACCTTCACCTCCCAGTGCTGGGATTACAAGCATGAGCCACCACATCCAGCCGGATTGTGATAATGTTGTAAAGCAAAAAAGCTCTAAAGGGCCCAGAATGGAATGATCTTGACTACAATGTAAAGGAATTCAGTAGTTAATAGAATTACATGAAAGTTTAAAGCTTTAATAAACACACAATCCCTAGATTTAAGAATCAGTAGCACAAGAGACAATTGATTGGGTCAAAACAAGTCCTCAAGTACACTGAGAAAATGAGTAATTAGGTATTCATGTTACATAAATCACTCTGGTGACAGGAAAAAAAAAAAGTCCTTAGGAGAAAAGAGCAAGTATGGGGCAAAAATGCCAGCCAGTTATTTCTTCTGTTATCCAACTTCAATTGTTCTTATATTATTTTCTATTTTCAAGTACTTAATACTTCCTTAAATGTAAAGGTCTTATTTAAATATACTTCCCCAAGAATATATTTTCAGAAAATGATAGAGAATCTTTCCTTCTTCTGAATCTGTCTAGATGTCCATCCACTGTTTGTATATGCTATAGAAGTAATTCCAAGAATTGGAAGTTAATTCCTTTAATAGCATTTAATAATTGTTGAATTAATGCTTTCATTTACATGAGGGTTCCTGCTAGGTTTTAAAGCTCTTCAAAACCTTTGAAAATCTATTTACACTCACAATGAAATAAAAACATAGAAAAAGGTTACCATAGATTAATTTATATAATGTTAATTCCAATACTTATTAGACTATACTTAGATGTATACGGCACAAAGAAGAGAATGGCTAAAGCATTTCGGTCCATATGGCATTCCAGTATCTTCAAAAGTTTAGTAATACTAAAAAGACCTAGAAATATTGTTAATTGAAAAACAGAGTATTATTAATAAGGGACTCTTACCTTTCCATTCATATCTTTGGCAGCATTCTTAGCATCTGCAGGGTTCTCAGAAATAATAAATGCAAAGTCTCTGGACTTGCTCTTTGATCCTTTATCAAAATAAGTAAAATATATAAAAACATTTTACGTTTACATAATGGGCTCACCAAGGTACTAACTGAAACTTACATCAAACAAAAAAAAATGCATTTCACATCACTACTATGATTCTTAATACTAAGTCACCCCTGTAGTCAGCCTATTTTATTTCAGTTTGTTTCCTAAATCCACAACACATTTACTTGTCCTCATTTTCCTTTCTAAGTAATAGGTGACCTAACCAGAGACCCTTAACCTGCTGCTATGAGAATTTTCCAAATATCAAATAGATAATTCAAAATAGGAGTTTAAAAATGATATAGTATTTTAGTGTATGTATACACTGAACTATGAAAAAATATATATTTTTTCAAAAATATATTATACGTATTTTAAATACACATATTGAAATATACATATGGAAATACACACACAGCTGTAAGAGTTACTTTCCAATATGGTACCATGTTTCCCAAATACTGCTTTAAGCATCTTTTCATTGGTTTCTCTATTGAGGCCACCAATGAAAAGCTTGTTGGATGATCTGCTTCTACCATTGTGCTGTAAGTGGTAAAAAATTATCTATATTTAGATAAAAATAAGCTAAAGAGATAAAATTTTATTTCATACTGTGTTGAAAACTCAAGTAAAATTCCCTTCCAGAGGCTGACATCTTTTTAGTATTTCTTAATTTAAATATGCAAAATCTGTAACATACGGAGAAAAAGGGGCACTGACTTCATGGACAAATGCTACATTTTAATATGTACCTGAAAAAATCTTGTTTATAATAAAAATAATTTTCCTAAGCTGCAATATGAAGGATGCCACCATTTAAATAATTTTATTTGAAAACTATATATTTATGAGGTACAGTGTGATGTTTTACGTATCTTTTTTCTTCAGATGTTTATCTCCTGTTGCCAAAGTGCGCTGCTCACTGCAGCCTTCTCCATCCAGCCTCAACTGATCCTGCAACGTCTAAGCTTTCTAAGTAGCTGAAACTACAGGTGCTTTCTACCAGACCTGGGCAATTTTTTTAAATACACACGGTTTTCCTCATATTGCCCAAGCTGGTCTCTAACTCCTGGGCTCAAGCAATCTGCCGGCCTGGGACTACCAAAGTGATGGGATTTCAAGGGTGAATCACCACACCCAGTGTGATATTTGAATGAAAGATTAAATCAAGCTAATTAAAATGTTCTTATGGGGAGAACATTTTAAATATTTTACCATCTTTAAGTGATTTGAAATGTATAATAGATCAAGGATCCCCAAACCCTGGCCTTCAACCTGTACCTGTCTGTGGACTGAATGTGATGCCTGAGAATGACCTGTAATACCTGTCTGTGGAGAATGTAACCCCTGAGGATGGCCTGAGGTGGTAAATCTTCATCCAGCAACCATCCTTGCTAGCTCTCCCCCCATCCCTGCTGCCCCACCCTGTTCCCATGGAAGCCTCGCTGCCCCACCTTCCCCCTGTCACACTGCTCCCACAGGAAGCCCCGCCCCACCACGTGCCCTTCGGGTCCCAGACACCAGTCCCCACTCCCAAAAGTGTCCACCTCGCTGCCTTCTTCCCCTGGGCAACCCTTGTCTGAGGAAAAATTATCTTCCACTAAACCGGTCCCTGATGAGAAAATGGCAATAGATTAAATGTTATCCAGGCTGGTCTCCAACTCCTGAACTCAAGCCATCCTCCTACCTCCACTTCCGAAAATGCTAGGATTAAAAGAGTAAGTCAGTGTGCCAGGTTAATAGAATAACTTAAGCGCATTTATTTTGTTTCCTTTATAGGCTATGTAACTCCATTTAATTCGATTACACCCGCTTATTCGGTTTAAATTATTCACGGAGCCACACATACATGAAACATGTTTCAAATACTGTCATACAAGGAAGGAGACAATTTCAGGCTTTACGGAGGCAAATTTATATTGAGATTATTTATGCCCCCAGACTTCTACATACAGTAAAGTATCTCAAAATTTGCTAATTCCTGCCAAGGAAATCAGACATGTGACATTTGCTGACTAAAACTACGAGTTTTTAATCTCAGTGGTTAAGTATATTGCCTATATTTTGAATGATGACCACATTCACAGAGAAAAACCGCTTTAAAAAAAAATGCACATGAGAACAATGGAGCCTCAGCACTATCTCCCACAATTTGCCCACATGTCGGACATGTCCGACAGTCAAAGGTACAATCCTCAAGAAAAATCAATGAATTTAACAAAAATTAGTTTCTTAAGAGGACTAAGGCGTCCTCTCCCCACTGTCTCCTCCAATATTTTAACATCCACACATAGAAAACCCATTCCGTTTTATAGACAAAATCCCAAAACTTCGCTTTTTATTCTTGCCGAGAGACCAACCTGTCCAGAGAAACAGAAAATAAACGTGAATTTCAGTAGCAGAAACAGCCTCAGGGTAGCTCCGCCCTCAGGTCCTATGCATCCAGCTTCCAGATCCCACAGGGCCAACTGCATGAAAGACCCTTGGAGCTGGCCTGAGTGGGAAGGACGCCAGAAACTGTGCCGGGAAAGCCCACCTACCTCCAGCTGCCAATCATTGCGAGGGCGCTGGAGGTGGGCCAATCATTTCGAGGGCGGTTGGTGTCTCCCCTGTCGCCCAGCCCCTGGCTGGCCTGCAACTCCATCCTCCCGCGGTAAGACTCCTCTGAGAAGCTGCTTGTGCCAGGTAGTGGTGGGTTCAGGCACACGCGCGCGGACTGTGAGCCCTTTGGAATTGTGAGCATGGAAGACCTACACCCTCACTGGCATCCTGAGTGTGGCAAGCCACTGACTCACCAACACATGAAACATCTCACTTCATTAGGCAGGGTAGGCTGATGGTACTGAACATTGCAGATCCAGAGGCGAGAGAGAGGGAACAACGCTGCCTGCTGGGGAAGGGCAGCAGAGGTGGCTTGGGGCGAGTGGGGCGGGGCGGGGACGTGGGAGGAAAGTCGTCTGGTACCTTCCTGGGGTGGAATTCGTCTGCACCAGAAGCCAAAACCCCTCAAGGACTCTTTCAGATCTAGGAAAATACAGACTCCGACTTCCATGCTTCATCCTGAGGACGCTGAGGATGCTGTACTCCCAGTGGCATTCCAAAGGACCTCTTGTCCTATGCCCTGGGCACACCAGAGGCTAGCCACCGTGGTAGCCCATCCGATGACCTGTGTGCACTGCCTTTCTGGCGCAGAGGCTCTCGCACTCGCAGCACCGGCCGCAGTACCTGCTAGGAGGGCTGTGGAAGCCCGCCCAGGGCCTCCGCCTCCGGCTACTGGGCTCCTGTGTGCACCTAACCCTGAAGGGAATCCGGGCCCTATGGCGATGGCGGCGGGCTGTGGGTCCTGCGGGGCTTCCCAAGAACCCTGGGTCCACGTAGGTGTGAGACGTGATTCTCAGCTGGGCGAGGCCCACGGGCCTCCTGAAAGAGGCCCGCAGAGTCTATGGGTGACAGGGGCGTTAGGTGGGCGCCTCAGATGTTGGTCTGTGGGACCATTTTAACGCCTGGCACCGTTTTAACGATGGAGGTTCTGCAGGAGGGGGCGACCTGGGGTAGGAGGCGTGCTAGTGGTGGATGACATTGTGGCAGAGATGGAGGTGGTGGCCAAGGAGGAGGCCGATGTGGAGAGGCAGCAGGAGGACCATCGGGCACAGAGCCCGGTCCTGGTCCCATTATGCCCCAGCACGCAACGAACTCGCTGGAGGTCCTTCACTTGTAGCTGGGCTCCGTAAATGCCCCAGGCCACAGGGTATCTCCAGCTTCTGACCCACAGCTATAGTTTTGCAGCTGCCAATTCGGGATGGCTGGCAGCAGCGGGGTGAGCCTCTAGCTCCTGGATGTGGGGTTTTGGGGAGCCAGGTCATAGGCACTGTGGGTCAGCCAGGAGTCAAGGTATGGGGTACAATGAGGGGAGCCGAGATCAGGCTTCTGCAGATAGGAGGGCAGCTTGTTTTGGGGTGCCCTGAGGCCACGTAGGGTAGGGACAGGAACCAAAGCACAGCACTCACAAGAGAGAACAGCAGCACAAACGACGCTTCACGCACAGCAGAAAGTTGAAAGGCAAGTTTCCCTAGGAAAGTCCCTGGAGGAAGGGGAGTCTGCACGTCCATGCCAGCCATGGAACCACGCTCCCGGTGTCTGCGTCCAACAGGCTCACCCTAGAAACACAATGTGCTCAAGACTTGGGTTCACGGTGCAGGGGGCTGCTGTCCTCCACAAGGCAGGCACCAGCTCCACAGACAGGCCTTCTTACACCCAAAGAGGTGTAGGCCATGAGCATATATAGCCTCCACTGCACCCACACGAGCCCTGTGGGGAGAGCCAGGCACAGCCCTGCAGCCCCTTTAACCCACAGCGATTCCCTCTGGTGGACACGCCTACCCTTCAGGGAGATGAGAAGAGGACACTGCATGTCCTGACAGCAGCAGAGTCTGTCCAGGATCCAGCACACAAGAGCCTCCTGCAGCTCAGGAACCCTGAGGAAGCAGCCGCCTCACACCAGAGCACCCTGCCCCGCAACCCTCTCTCCACTTCTTCTGTGCCCACCCCTTTTCAGAACAGGTGGTCTGGGCCTGGCTCCACCTGCCACCAAGACCACCACAGACACGAAGGTGCCCCCATGCCAGGCAGAGACAGAGGACCACTAAGTGGTGGTGCCGGGTCAAAGATCTAGGCGATAGCCCTGCTCCACACTCTCTGTGCTCTTTCAAAGTTGCAGGTTGTTTCATGGCACGCCCCGAGCCCCCCAATCATCTGACGGCTCCTAGACCAGATGCAGATTGTGGGGCACACCCAGATATGGGCCGGGTTCACAAATGATGAAGTCTTGTTTAGCTACATGATGGATCTGCAGGCCAGGCTGCAGAGCTTGGGTATGCGGGAGTGGTCAGGTGTCTGGGTCAGGTTCAAGTTCTCTCTGGGGCCCAGGGGTGTCTAAGCAGCAGAGCTGGGAAGGGGAAACACATGTTTCACTCCAGCTAGCAGGCCACCTTAGTACAGCTACATGAAATGGTCATTTGAGTCCATCCTCCTCCTTCTTGGCCAGATAGGGAAAGAAACTCAGCCACCCTGGGCACTGGCATCAGGATGAAGTTTTCCTTTTGTCACAATCTTTACTTCCACAATGAAATGATCATTCAGGAGTATTGCCTTGGCATCCTCAGTAAGACGTGCCTCCCAGCATGGTAGGGGAGCTGGTGTGTAGGAGGGTAGGTCTGGAAAGAACTTTCCTGACTCTTCTCTCTCCAGGACACCGGGTGTCTCATTCCACTGCAGTCCAGTGGTTATGGGATCATGAAGGTCAATCCTCCAGCCACAGGCAGTATACCTCCTACCTGAGCTTCTGCAGCTGGTTGGCTGACCATGGCTACCCAGGTTCTGGAAGGATTGCTGAAGTGAGGTCCACAGTGGGGCATCATGGGAAAGGACCTTCCTGGCCATTCCTTGGCCTCTGGGGCAGTGGCTTTAAGCCATGATGTGACCTGTCTTGTAACCCCTTCTGCAGTCCCCCAGATCATCAGCCGGGGCCTGTGGCTCAATCCCCTGCAGTACTTCCCTTGGGAGGGAGGCCATTAGAGAGGGAGCAAAGAGGAGGCCAGGTGAGCAGTCTAGGTCTGGGGACTGAGAGGCCCTTTGATTCCTGGAGTTGTGCCCCACATGAAGAATCCAAGCCTCAAGGAGGTGACTGCAGTGAGCAATCCCAGGCCATCCATGGGCTCATGGAGAAATGGCCAACAGGGAACTGTAACACCCACATTTCAGGATTGAGGAACCTTAAGCTGCCTAAGAGGCATAAGTGTCTAAGGTCAGTGGGTGAGAAGCAAGGCTCAAGGGCCAGCTGTCTCATCATCCCTTACTGGCTCCCTTCCCTCCCATGAGGCCTGCTACCACTTGGGGTTCAGTTTGGGCTCAAGCAGGGCCCTCTTACCCTCCACACAGATATCCCCTCAAGGCCCGTCTAGGTCTACATCCTCCCAGAATGGCTCTCCCAGGCCCATCATTTTCTGTAACAATGACAGCAGGCTCCCCTGACATGCTTTCTCCTGTCTGCCATCCTCACTCATACTGCCTTCCCCACCCAGACAAGAGAGGCCACTACACAGGGAATCTTGGGGACCACACTGGGCTCACAGGGAAGGAAATGTAAAGAGATTGTTAAATGGCTGAGACCTTAGGTGTGTGTCCACGGTGGGAAACTGGCTAGAAATTAAGGCCCACCTGAGCACTGGCAGTGACACCAGGTGTCACTTATCATGATAAACACCTGCTTTGTCACATCACTTAATATTAATATAGAAGTTTTTTTTTTTAGAATAGTGAAACAATGAAGTCATGTATGAATAAATAGTGTTTTTTCAGATTTGTGTGGAAAACTGCAGACACATCCATTTTTGATTGCAATTCTTATGTGAGGCTTGAAGTTTTTATTGAGTTTTAAGATATATTTTGATTGTTCTACTTCTAGCAAATTTTATGCTCATTTTTGCAATATAGAGACATAGAATCCAGAAAATTTTTGAATGACTTTCATCTTCTTTTAGAGTACTTGCTTGTAAATTTTGAATTTTTTTTCCCTTGTGGTTCTTTTCAGTTTATTTTTTGTAATTTATATGCAAGGTGATATATTTGATTTTTAATTTGTTCTTGTGGAACTTTTGTTTAAAGGACTTTTTTTTCTATTAGATATGTGAGTTTGCCTGTGAGTACTTTTTCTAGTACAGATTTTTTTTTTCATTTTTCATTTCTGTGTGTGTATGTGTGTGTGGATGGAGTTTTGAGATGGAGTCTTGCTCTGTCACCCAGGCTGGAGTGAAGTGGCATGATCTCGGCTCACCTCAACACCGCCTCCCAGCTCCAAGCGATTCCTCTGCTTCAGCCTTCCTGAGGTGGTGTGATTACAGGTGCATGCCCCCATGTCCAGCTGATTTTTGTATTTTTAGTTGAGATGGGTTTCATCATATTTGCCAGGCTTGTTTTGAACTCCTGATCTCAAGTGTTCTGCCCACTTTGGCCTCTCAAAATGCTGGGCTTACAGGCACGAGCCACCATGCCTGGCCTCATCTGTTTTTCTACATATTTTTAACGCTTATTGTATTTTCTTCATGAACATGTATTTAAGAGTTATTGAAATAATATGTTTTATTTATTTACTCAATACTTTAGTAGGATTTTAAAAGTAATGTTTTCCTTCACTAAATACAGTACGATGAATAGGTTAAAACTTGTATAGCATTGTCATTTTCTTTTTCATAAATTCTTCAACAACTCTGATACTCTTTTTCCCACACCTGAAGAGAATATGCAGACAGATACAAAAAATTGTGTGTGAGTTTGTATGAAAATATAATTTGAAAGACTAATAAATTTCACAAATACAATTTCACATTTGTATTTTGCATCATTTTGAATTTTTTTTTTTTGTTTGCTGATAAATAAAATCCTGAATTCACATTCATGTTAAATAGGAGCTTTTGAATCATTTTCAAGAATGAAAACAATCCAAGGCCATGCATTAGTTCAGGAAGTAGGTAGAAAGCAGTTGTTATGAAGAAAAGCCATATTCACCGAAGGTACATTTAGAGAGATTTTGAAAGGCTAAGTCAATATTTTCCTTGTTGATGCTCTGGTGTTTTATCATATTGTGACCAGACTGTGGCATCACTAGTTATAGTCACTAGGCTACCAAAGTCCCTGGGCTGTGGTAATTATGATTGAGGAAAGTGGCAGTGTGGTTGGCTGTTTAAGGAGACTAAAGGACTTAGGAGTTTCCACCCAAGAAACAAGGACTTGTTTTATTGGGTGGCCTTCTTTTGCTGAAGTAGATAAGATCCAGGAGAAGTGTGGACTCACTGCAGTAGCTAGGGTTTTGAGACTGGTGAAGCCTATTTGTCTCCAACTACCATTGCCAGGTATTGGTCCACACATAATGGCACATCCTGGACTCACTGACTCCTGTAAATTCCAACACAGAATTTGGATTTAAATCCCTATTCCAACTTCTTAATCATAGGTTTAATAAGTTGATAAATGATGTATTCAGAAGAAAGGGAGACATCAGATAAGTGCCTAAGTAAATCATCCTGATCAAATACCTTCAAAAAGTTTACTACAAAAAGTCACTGAAGATTAAACCTCGAAAAGTTATTTTAATTGGGGAAATATAAAAAGTGGACTCATTTTAAGCTCTGAGGTGTAAAGGTACTATTATTAGAATAAAAGAATTACATAAAATGTCTAATTTGTATGTAGAGCAGCATACTAGCTATTTAATATAGCTAGAGACTGATAACAACCCATGTAAGAAAACTCAGAGATTAACAACAAAAATTTTTCAGACTTTGTTCCATAATTAAAGAGTTTTAAAGTGTATTC
This sequence comes from Homo sapiens, assembly GCF_000001405.40. Lineage (NCBI taxonomy): Eukaryota > Metazoa > Chordata > Mammalia > Primates > Hominidae > Homo > Homo sapiens. Next base: position 8,285,020 of record NC_000024.10, read on the forward strand.
CTACTGATCAATGATTCACTTATATTTATCATATAGGCAGGCTGTATACCCTTTTGAATAGGGACAAAGTTATAGTTTCTATTATGTAGTAAGAAAAAAATGTATTTTGTACCACATTTGCATCAGAGTCTTTGCCCAGAGTAATGAAGCAAACAATGAAACTGCCTATGTCAGGTTACAGGTGGGCACAGCTGGAAGCTTCCATCACTTGCCTCTTTCACATTTCTGGATTCTCATCGGTCCCTCCTAGAAAGACAAATGGACTGTAACTATCCTAAAGAACATATATTACATTTAAACAGTAAGTATTGAGATAATACTATGATTTGTCTTAACACTTATGTCTCATCATCACTTTAAACTTGTATCTATGACTTTTACACAGAAATTCAGTTTATTTTATCACCGTTAACATTTTACATCACACATTTTTTTCTATTTTATTCTCTTTTTGCTCACTTATTTTTTTCTTTTTTAAGGTAGAGTTTCACTCTATCACCCAGGCTGTAGTACAGAGGCTTGATCTCAGCTCACTGCAACCTCTGCCTCCAGGGTTTATTTTTTTATTTTTTTTATGTTTTTGAGACGGAGTCTCCCTGTCGCCCAGGCTGGAGTGCAGTGGCGCGATCTTGGCTTACTGCAGGCTCCGCCTCCCGGGGTTCACGCCATTCTCCTGCCTCAGCCTCCCTAGTAGCTGGGACTACAGGCGCCCGCTACCTCGCCCGGCTAATTTTTTGTATTTTTAGTAGAGACGGGGTTTCACTGTGTTAGCCAGGATGGTCTCGATCTCCTGATCTCGTGATCCACCCGCCTCGGCCTCCCAAAGTGCTGGGATTACAGGCGTGAGCCACCGCGCCCGGCCGCCTCCAGGGTTTAAGCAGTTCTCTTGCCTCAACCTCTTAAGTAGGTGGGATTACAGGTACACACCACCACTCTTGGCTAATTTTGTATTTTTAATAGAGATGGGGTTTCCACATGATGGTCAGACTTGTCTTGAACTCCTGACCTCAGGTGATCCATTGCTTCAGCCTCCCAAAGTGCTGGAATTACATGTGTGAGCCACCACTTCTGGCCTTTTTTTTTTTTTTTTGATACAAGTTCTTGCTTGGTTACCCAGGCTGGAGTGCATTGGCACAATCTTTGCTCACTGCAGCCTCTATCTCCCAAGCTCAAGCTATCCTCCTGCCTCACCTCTGACATAGATGGGACTACATGTGGCCACACCACCCAGGCTATTTTTTTTGTATACTTGTTTAGTGATGACATCCTCTATATTGCCCAAGCTGGCATCAAATTCCTGGACTCAAAATGTCCTCTTAGTTTAAGCTCCCAAATTGCTGGAATTACAGGGGTGAGCCAATGTAGACAGACTTGTCACTTTTTAATAACATTTTAAATGTCACTCTGCAAAATTAACAAGTCAATTTTTACTTATGAAATTCCAAATTCCAAGTCAAGTTCAGCTAGATTTTCATAAAAAGGTAAAAATTAAACAAAACAATACAAAACCCTACTTTTTCATTTGTTCTGACGGGAGCAGAGAAGTGGGAAGGAAAACCTCTCTACATTGCTTTACAAAACTAGACTGTAAAGAGAATGTTCCTCATATAGCTTTTGTCAGATCTAAATTCCTATGAAGTTATCATCAGAACCATCATCTCTGATGTGGATTAAACATCTTATAATTAGTAGTGTGTACAATTGTGATTATAGTTATTCCTTGAACCATAATATTAAAAATATGAACCTTTTTTTTTTTAGAACTGCTACCCTAATAAGAAAAGTAACTGTTGATCTGATATAATAATTTGTGGCACAGACAGCCAGCATTCTGAACTATTCAGGTTCTTCAGATAGCCCAAGTGCTAAGAGCTGAATGGGAGTCTGGACATCTTGGAGGAGTAGTAATGCCAGGGCATTTCTTGCTGCCCCACTCACCAACTGGAATCTTTCATGCAGTAGAATGGTAGACACCTTCACAACTCTCAGTGGTGTCCCAGGGTGCCTCAGGTCCAGAATCAAAGCAGTGTCTTCAGGATTCCTGTGTGCATAGGCAAAGATTTATTACAGTACACTCATTAGAAAACCTGAACCTTAAACCTACATCAGGTTTTCCAGCATATTGCTTTAGTCATGATACACAAGGTCCCTAGCTCATCTGCAGAGAAATCAGAAATCTATTAATAAAGAGTCCACAGACAATGAGATTGCAGAGGAATTAACTAACAGAGGTACTAATAAGCCAAACACAGTGCGGCAATTTATTTTTAGCCTAAAACAAAAATGTTATCTGTATAAGTGAGATGGTCATGCATGATTTTCATCTTTGGGCTATTGTTAATAGTGCATCTGTGAAAATTCATGGACAAGTTTGTGTATGGATGCATTTTTCTTTTTTTGGTTTGGCCTAGGAAGGCAATTGCTGGATCATATAGTACTTCCGTGTCTAACCAAGACACAGAAGTACTGTGTAAAGGAACCACCAAATTGTTTTCTAGAGTTCTTGTAGCATTTTACATTTTTCTCAGCAAATTATGAAGGTGGTAATTTGTCTACATTTATGTAAAAACTTGCTGTTTTCTTACTTTATTTTTAAGCATATTCATCTTGAAGTATGTAAAGTCTATCTTATTTTAGATTTGATTTGCTTATACTTTTTTGAGGAAATGTCTATTGAAATAATTTCCTCATATTTCAATAGACTTTGGTCATGGCATTGAAGGTCTGATTTGTATCTTTTTTTGTGTATTTGTCATAGTAGACTTTTAGAGATAAATAATTTAAAAATATTTTCTTCGGTCTTTTGAAGTCTTTCTTGTAGTATTCTTTGAAGCTACAGAGTTTTCAATGTAGACAAAATCATATTTTTTTACTTATTTCCAGACTTCTACTTTGATTTGCTTTTTTTATTGTGGCAGAATGCACATAAAATAAATTTTTTCCCTCTTAACAGATTTTACTTTTCCTGGTCACTGGCATAATATTCATTTACAGTTTGTGCATCACTTTCTTCAAAAGTTTATCACTTTTTATTTTTTAAATTAAAACTTTCTATTCATTAATAATAATTCCAACATAGTCTCATAGTCATTAGAGGGTGTTGATTTGGAAACTTTGTTTGATTATTTCATTCTGGCAGTGTATTTTTTCCTTTCAGTCTTCTAAAAAAAAATGGGATACATGTACAGAATGTGCAGATTTGTTACTTAGGTATATGTGTGCCATGATGGTTTCCTAAACCTATTGACCCATTGTTTAAGTTCACTCCCCTTGTCCCCCATTCACCAACAGGCCCTGGTATGTGTCGTTCCCATCTCTGTGAATGTGTGTTCTCAATGTTCAGCTCCCATTTATCAGTGAGAACATTCAGTGTTTAGTTATCTCTTCTTGTGTTTGTTTGCTGAGAATGATGGCTTCCAACTTCATCCATGTCCCTGCAAAGGACATGATCTCATTTCTTTTTATGGTTGCATAGTATTCCATTGTGTATGTGTACCACATTTTCTTTATCCAGGCTATCACTGATGGGCACTTGGATTGGTTCCATGCCTTTGCTATTGTAAATAGTGTCTAACAGTGTATTTTTGTATATAAACTTTAGCAATTCTATTTGGAAGCCTATTATTTCTTATTTTTTGCCTAATTGTTTCAGGATAACAATTATTATGTCAAAAAGAAGTAGTGAAAGTAATAGTTCTGAGTTTTTCCTGATATTAGAGAAAAAACTTTTAGTCTTTTATCATTAGAACCTTACCTTAGACAAGCTTGTTTAATCCACCTTATTTCATTGTTGTTGTTGTTTTATTTTGTTTTAGGCTTTTAGCAGCTTGAAACCATACTTTTTAGTTTCTGTCTCCAGCAACAAAGGGAAGGTAGGGATGAGGAAGGAGATTTACTGGCGCATACAGAAATGAAAACTAAAAATTCATGACTGTATTCTCTCGCTTAGACACCACTGCCTTAGATCATATATAAATATTTACTCAATATAAATCAAAGCTGAACCTAAAAAAGGCAACTTTAAAAGTTTTAGAGAAGAATTTATGATATTGAATTCTGCAATGATTTCTTGTATTACATCAAAAGTAGAGGTGACCAAAGAATAACTAAATAAATAACTTAGTATTCTGATATTCAGTGAAAATATCTCTTAGTGGGATATAAATTTATTCTAAAAGAAAAAAGAATCTCCTAAAGGAATTCTTAAATTCTATAGAAAGTTTTGGCAGATAGGTAATTATTGTAGTCTTAATTTTCCTTTCTATTTTTTAAAAACTTCTATGAGTATTGAAAGTAAAAAGAATATCAAATGGATAGTTTAACATAAAATAAAGTAAATATGAGTATTGAAAGTAAAAATAACATCAAATGCATACTTTGCTATAAAGGGTTTAATATGTTTCACAATTCTAACATTCATTTGGAAAGATAAGTGGTTATTATCTAGCTGTGAAGCTTCTGTATTTTGCTGGAAGTGGTAAAACATTAACACTAAATAATAATATATTAATAATTTTTAAAACAAATGTTTAATAGTAATACAAAGAGATACAAAGATGGAAGGTCAATTGACACATTGAGAGGGAATACTAAACTATGTTTAAATAATTTACAAGGAGACAAAAAAGTTCATATTCCCAGATACAAACAGTAAAATAACAAAACAGTATACCTTAAATTCAGTTGTATTAGTAGTAATACATAATGTAAATTGGTCTTGGTAAAAAAACAAATGCTCAGATAAGATTAGACAAAACAAGTCTCCATTACATGCAATTATATTAAATCTTTAAGTCACCAACTTTATATTTAATGCTATACATTAAAGTTACAGTGAGATATCAAAGCTGACAGTAAATGGGTATAGTTATGAAAAGACAACCAGAAAGGCCCTTTGATGTTGGGACTGTTTTGTATCTTAACATGGTGATGGACACACAGACACATACTTAATTCTGTATGTATGTTTAATTGACTATATCTGTGTAATAATAACTAAAATAAATAAATTACACAGATAGAGACAACTAAACACACATACAGAAATAAGTATTAAAAAACTAGAGAAATTTGAAAATCTAAGATTTTCAAAATTTTAAAATTTTAAAATTGGGTAAAAGTTACCTATTATTTCTTAAAATAGATTAATAGAGAAAACATTATCTCTATTATTTATTAAAACTCTATGTAATTCTACAATTAACTCAACTTTTTTTCAAAATCTAAGATTGGAAAAAGAAAATAAGCAATCACCACTTTTGAAAACAGTGTATTGAATAGGTACTGTAAAGCTAAATAAAAAACCATACAGAAATACTAATCTCACCAATTCTAGTTCCAAGTGTTACCAATACCGAAACTACTTTAGATGTTTATTAGGAGTGAACAAAGCTAGTTGTAGATAATTACAGTTTAGATTATAATTTTTGGAAAGATAAGATACAGGTAAGGGAAGTTAGATGGCTTAAGTGACCCTATGATATTCAACTGTAATCATGGCTATTGTGTGGACACATATACATATGTGTACATATGTATTTAAATTTAGACATATACATACAGATATGCACAGTAATCAAGGTATGTGTATATCAGCATTGACAAATGGTGTCTTCTAGACATAGAAGAATTTCCCTGCAAACAGAAACATTTTTACTTCCTCGCTTGCTATTTGCATACAGTTTATTTCTTTCTCTTGTCCGATTACCCTGGACAAACTTACGATACTATGTTGAATAGGAATGGTGAGAGAGGTCATCCTTGTCTAGTGGCTGTTTTCAAAGGGAATGCTTCCAGCATTTCCCCATTCAGTATGATATTGGCAGTGGTTTTGTTATAAGTGGCTGTTACTATTTTGAGGTATGTTTCATCAATACCTAGTATACTGAAAGTTTTTAAAATAAAGAGGCGTTGATTTTATCAAATGACTCTTCTGCACTTACTGAAATAATCATGTGGTTTTTGGCCTGAGTTCTGTTTTTATGATGAATGACATTTATTGATTTGCATTGCATATGTTGAATGTGCCTTGTGTCCTGGGATGCAGCCAACTTGATTATAGTTGATAAGCTTTTAGATGTGCTGCTGGTTTCAGTTTGCCGGTATTTTATTGAGTATTTTTGGATCAATGTTTATCAGGAATATTGACATACAGTTTCCTTTTTTGGTTGTATTGCTGCCAGGTTTTGGTACCAGATTGTTGTTAACCTCATAAAATGAGTTAGGAAAAAATCTCTTTCTTTCAATTGTTTGAAATAGTTACAGAAGAAATGGTATCAGCTCCTGGTTGTGTCGCTGATAGAATACAACTCTAAACCCATCTGGACCTGGGCTTTTTTTGGTTGGTAGACAATTTATTAATGTCTCAATTTTAGAACTTATTATTGGTTTATTCATGGATTCAATTTCTTCCTGGTCCAGTCTTGGAAGGGTTTATGTGTCCAGGAATGTATCTGTTTCTTTTAGATTTCCTAGTTTATTTGCATAGAGGTGTATAAAGTATTATCTGATGTTGGCATTTCTGTGGGTCAGTGGTGGTATCCTGTTTATCATTTTAATTGAATTATTTTTTTCTACTCTCTGTTTTTATTAGTCTAGGTACCATTGTATCTATTTTATTAAGTTTTTTGAAAAAACAACTCCTAGATTCATTGATTTTTAAAAGGATGTTTCTTGTCTCTATCTCCTTCAGTTTCACTCTTATCTTGATTACTATTATTATTATTATTTTAATACATTAAGTATAAGATTGAAAAATATCCGGAAATATTTATTTGGAGACATTTTCTTACAATTTAGAAGCAAATGAAGCCATTCAAAAATTTTGCCATAAACCCCATCCACATGTACTGATTTCCACCTGCAAAATCTAGCCCTGACTTCCTCTTCTTCTGGTAAAGGAACCAGACCAGTTACTGAATTCTATAGTCACCTCTAAGTAAGTACGTCTTCTCTTCACTGTTGGTGTGAAATAAGGAAAAATGAATGTGAGTTTAGCCAGGCTGTCCATGAAACAGGCACAGTCATCACGGGCACACAGTTGTGCTGCCTGGTGTTCCCCACATATGTGGCCTGCAGATACTGTGTTTGATTTTGTATAGTCTGTCCTATCCAAATGCAAAAAAAAAAAAAAAAAAAATGAAGAACTGAAATAATAACAGTCTCTCTGACCACAGAACAATCAAACAAAACAATCAAAGTTAAGAAGCTCACTCAAAACCACACAACTACATAGAAATTGAATAGCTTGCTCCTGAATGACTTCCGGATAAATAGTGAAGTTAAGAAATCAACAGGTTCTTTGAAACCAATGAGAACAAACAGAGAACATACCAGAATCTTTGAGACACAGAGCTAAAATGTGTTAAAAGAGAAACTTGCAGCACTAACTGCCTACATTTAAAAGCTAAAAAGATCTCAAATTGACATTAACATTAAGATGAGTTAGCTAGGTGGCCTTAGGTAGACAGCAGTGGAAGGGTCCCCAGAGACCCCATGATTCATGGATCAGTGTCTCCTTCTCACATAACATAAAAAGCAGCCTGAGGAAAAAAAAAAGCTGCAGGCACCAAGAAGAAAACCAACATAGGGGTTCTTCCTGAAGACATGCCTTTGGCTGAAGAGATAAATGGATCTCAGACACGTTCAGATAAAAATGTGCACAAACCTCCAGCTCACTCAGATAATAAAGCAAGGTCTGACATAACATGCCTTTGCTCTTTGTATAATCAGCAGGCTTCCAGAAGAAAGTTTCTTTTCCATTTTTGGGCATAAACATAATGAGCTCTGGTGGGTTCTAGTGAGACTTTCCTGTTTTTTTGTTATTTATTTATTTATTTATTTTTGATTGAGAGCCTGGCCTGTATGAATAACCACTTCAGCCCTTGATTCCCTGATTGGTCCCAGTCCAACATCTCATCTCAGGTAAAGCTTTCATTGCAGCTCCTGATAGGCCCTGGCCCAGGCTGAGCAGCTTCTGTGACTCACCATTTTAGCCCCACATTGGTCCCAGGCCAAACATCGTGATTGGTCCTAGGCCAAGGTCTCAAGCCAAGCTCAGTCACACATTCTCCAAGGCAGCCCATGGACTAAGCATATTTCTTCTCTCTACCAGTTACATATATAATATATATATATCACATATATAATGTATATTGCATATTTAATATATATTACATATGTAATATAGTTATATATATAATATGCATATGTTTGTGATTTGGAGTCCTATTTTGTATCCTATTAGTTTTTACCTTGTGTAAGGAACTTTACATATATTTTTACCCATTGAAAGGATACTGAAAAATTGTATGGTTACTTAACTAATGAAGACATTTCCGAACTCTGGGATAATTGTTGTTTTTAAGTAGTAGGTATATAGTTAATAAAATCATTCATACCTTTTTCATTATATCATAATTTTGTGGTTTAATGTCTCATCTGAGAAGTAATTTATTATTTTTTATATTAAAATCAGAAACTGTCACCTTTCACTTCTCTGAATTATTTTAATTTTGTCATGTGGTATGGTTTAACATTTCATTCTGTTGGTTTTCAGATGCACATCTCTGTGTAATACCAAATGCTAACAATTACTGTTGTCATAAATGAAGGTCAGCATTTCTGCCTAGATTTGATAAATAATTTTCTTGTTTTAGCTATAAAAATATAAAAAGAATGCATCACAAAGATATTCAATATAGCTCCCTGGCTACACTGATGAGTCATAATCTGAGACTGAGACTGCGTGCGATAAAATTTAAATCACAGATATGATTTACTTTGCAAATCACAGCATATTTTATGCTTTTATTCACAAAATGCCTTATTTTTCAGGCAATAGAAACTAGTAAATCAAGAGGCCGGGCATGGTAGCTCATGCCTGTATTCTCAGCATTTTGGCAGGCCGACATGGGTGGATCATGAGATCAGGAGTTAGAGACCAGCCTGACCAAAAAGGTGAAACCCTGTCTTTACTAAGAATACAGAAAAATTAGCTGGGCGTGTTGGAGTGTGCCTGTAATCACACCTACACAGGAGGCTGAGGAAGGAGAATCACCTGGACCAGGGAGGCGCAGGTTGCAGTGAGCTGAGACTGTACCACTGCACTCCAGCCTTGCCACTACCTAAGCCAAGATTTTGTAGTTAAGCACATTAATGAATGATAGTCTTCTACACATTTATATATGTAACCTATATCTATCTATCTATTGATAAAAGCTAAAAGCATGGGATAAAATATGTAAAATATTAAAGAAATGAGACATTTATGCTCATTTATATAAAGACTCAACATTGCCAAGATGTCAGTTCTCTCCACATTGATATGAAGGTTCAAAAACAATTCCAATTAATATCTCAGATATAATTTTGTGGATTTTGACCAATTGATTTCTAAAACATATATGGAGAATTAAAAATAGAGAATAGCTAACTTATTATTGAAAAAAGAAGAACAAAGTTGAAGCATTGACATCATTATACTTCAAAATTTACTATAAAGCTACAGTAATCAAAATTGTGTTACTGATGAAAGAAATGACAAATAGATGATGTGAAAAAAGGTTAATCTGATTGATCACTTCAGCTAAGAAGAAATACAGTTGTCAAATTAGCATATGAAAGGATGATAAACATCTTATGTTATTGGGGAGTTGTGAATGTGATAGTAAATTAAACATAAAATTGCAAAAATTGAAAACCTGATAACAGCAAGTTTAGAAGTATGTTTGGTAGGCTTTGTTTTGTTTTGTTTTAACAAAACTAAACCAACTCTTTTGATCTCATCCAGCAGTCTTGCTTCTTGGAATTTACCCAACTAAATTAAAAACATGTTTACGTCAAAATCTGCATATGGATGTTGTTCTATAGTAGGTAAGTGGATCAACTTTGGTTTATGGAATATTTATGGAATACTATGCAGCACTAAAACAAAAAGAGCTTTCAAGTCATGAAAAGACATGAAGGGAACTTAAATGTATATTTACAATGAAATAAGCCAATCTGAAAATGCTACATACAGTATTTCAAGTATATGACAATCTAGAAAAAAATTATTGAAGAAATAAGAAGATTAGTGGTCTCAATGGTTTACAAGGAAGGGTGGAATAAATAGGCACAACTCAGGTGATTATTAGAGCACACAATGGTGAAACTGTTGTGTATAATACTACAATTTTGGTATGTTTTATTACATGTTTGTCAAAACCCATAGAATGTACAACAGTAAAAGTGAGACCTAATGTAAACTGCATATATTGACTGACAATGTATTGATGTAGGTTTATGAATTGTAACAAACATATCAGCATCATCAGAAATGGTGATAGTGGGGAAGGTTGTACATGTGGGGACAGGGTGTAAGGGAGCTTTCTGTACTTTCTACTCAATTTTGTTGTAAGGCTAAAACCACCCTACTCAGATGTATTGATTTAAAAACCTCAGTAATTAGGAGCTATATTTCAGTGCAATATTCATAAATAACTATTAATAAAAAATTAATGTTGAACAAAATCTTTTATGGAAAGATAAGATCAGTGTCAATATTAATGCTAAGCTAAGGAATATTGAAGCAGGAATCAAAATAAATAATCAGTAATATAGAGTGAAAGAACAATGCATGGAAAGGGATACCAGTGGGTTGCTGCTGACTGGGGTGGCTAACTTTTATTCCCTTATTTGTCTCCGCCCATGTCCTGCTGATTGGTCCATTTTACACAGTGCTGATTGGTCCATTTTACAAACTTCTAGCTAGCCAGAGAGCGCTGATTGGTGCGATTTCACCAAGCACTGATTGGTGCATTTTACAAACATCTTGTAAGACAGAAAACTTCCCCAAGTCCCCACTCAATCCAGGAAGTCCAGCTGGCTTCACCTCTCACTAGTAGGAATACCCTCTATTCCCACCATCAACATCATGTTGCTACTTCTGGATGAGTGACTATTTATTCTTTTAAATAGGTAGTGGCAATCTTCCAAAAATTTAGATTTAGGTTTCAGTGTCCTCCACTGGGGCCTGCAACTTATAAGAAACAGATTTATTCCTGGACAATTGTATCCAACTAGGTATGCCCTAAATTTTAAAAGGACTGGGATAGTCAACAACACCTGATAGGGGGCTCTTCTATTTTGGTTGTAATTTATTCTCAGGGGATCCTCCTTTCAAAATATGTAGGGAGATGAAGTTTCATGGTGAATAGGAGGTCAGTTAATTGCCTTGGAAGAGGGACCAATACTTTTTGTCCATAGGCTTGGAGGACTTTTCTAACCTGGCCTAAGTTGACAATATCTGTCAACTTATGACTCAACTATATATCTCTTTATTAAGCAGAAGATCTCAAGCTAAACATGGCCTCACATAACTCCTCTCAAATGGATTGTTTGGGAGGTTTTTTAAGGATCATTCCTATGTGTATAAAGACTGGCTAAGAGAGGAACTTGGATCTCTGAGGTCTCCTGACATGGCTTAGCTAATGTCTTTTCAAAACATGATTAGCTTTTTCTATTTTACATGAGGAATGAGTACTCCAGGGGGAATGAAGGTGATAAGTAATGCCAAAGGCTGAAGGAAAGCTGCTGCGTTACTTTAGCTGTGAAAGTAGGGCCATTATCATCACTCCGCAGAATTTCAGGTAATCAAAACTTTGCAGTTGATCTCATTAAGTAAAAATTTGGACACTCATAATGCCTTCTCTGTCCTTGGGGGAAAAGCCTTAATTCACTTGGTTGAAGGTGTCTATAAGTACTGGCGAATATTTCCATCCCTGTACAGTTGTATGTGATAAAAATCTATTTGCTGGCCAGGCATGGTGGCTCATGCCTGTAATCTCATCACTTTGGGAGGCCAAGGCAGGTGGATCATGAGGTCAGGAGATCAAGACCATCCTGGCCAACATAGTAAAACCCCATCTCTACTAAAGATACAAAAATTAGTTGGGGGTGGCGGTGTGCACTTGTAATACCAGCTACTTGGGAGGCTGAGGCAGGAGAATCATTTAAACCCAGGAGGCAGAGGTTTCAGTGAGCCGAGATCATGCCACTGCACTCCAGTCTAGTGACAAAGCAAGACTCCATGTCAAAAATAACAACAAAAAATTCTATTTGCCAGTCTTCCCAGGGTACGTCTCTCAATGTTGTAAAGGTTTGAATAGAGGTAGGGGTATGGAGTAGCTTCCTGAATTATTACAACACAAAATTCACAGGTCCTGGACATCCTCTTTATAGTCTAGAATAGTTTATTTCCTTAAATGATTTGAGAAAATAACTTGTATATTGAGACCTGTCCCAAAGGAGGAGTTACATAAAGGCTTAACTGTCTTTCATTGCATTGCCTCAGGGAGAAAGAGTTTTGTTGCTTTCTAGTAACCATCCTGAAAGACTCTTTTGTAATGCTTTTGTTCTGCCCATTAAATTTCTTCATGGGTATAGTGTGGTGTCCCAGACATGGGTGCAGTACCTGGCATTTGCCAGTGGGCTGTAACAATGGTGCCTCTTTAGATGTGGCCTTAGCTGTTTTCTCTCCCAGAGAATTTCCTTTGACAATAGAAAGGCCTTCTTTTTAGTGCCTAGTGCACTGAATCACCGAATCACCGCTAACCTTCTTTAGGAGCTGGACAGCTAGTTATATGCAAACACTACACCATTTAATGCCAAGAAATTGAGAATCTGCTGATTTTGGTATCCATGGAAGTCCTGAACCAATCCCCCACTTATACTGAGAGAGGATTATGTATACTTCAATATCACACAGATCACAATGGAAGTAAAGCCTGCTTTATCACTCAAGTAATTGGCCTTCCTGTGGCTTTCTCTTACAGGTAGGTAGGTAATTTCAACTTTGACATCTTAATACTAAATCTAGAAAATTTTCTAAGTTTTCTTGTTAATATATATGTTTTGTATATTCTTTGAAGTTGTCCATGTAGATAATCAAGTCATCTACAGATGAGGAATATTTTACTTCTTTCTGCAGAATTCTTACATGCTAAAATATTATTAGTAGTATTTATCATATACTATGTTAAAAATCTCGAGGAGAATATTGAAGAGAAATGGTAATAGTTAACCTTCTAATCTTTCTTGTGATTTCGAAGGAAGTACTCTCAGATAAGGAACACTTTCCTTGTTTGCACTTTAATGTCTTATTATAAATAGCTACTATGTTTTATTTGATGCTTCTGTATTCACTGATGTAATTCTATTTTTTACTACTTTATATTAGTATAATGCATTAAATTAATAGATTTTCTTAAGTTGCACCACTCTTTTCTCTATGAAATAAATTTAGTGAAGATGTGTGGTTATGATGTATAACCCTACATCTGTTTGCTTGTTTATATGGTTTGGCTCTGTTTTCACCCCAATCTCATGCTGAATTTTAACCCTTATATTTTGGAGGGGGCCCTGATTGGAGGTGATTGTGAGAGGTGACAGCATGCTGGCAGTCCTCAGAACCCTGGCTTGCTCTCGGCACCTCCTCTGCCTGTGCTCCCACTTTGGCGGCACTCGAGGAGCCCTTCAGCCCACTAGTGCACTGTGACCCCTCTCTGGGCTGGCCAAGGCTGGAGCCAACTCCCTCAGCTTGCAGGGAGGTGTGGAGGGAGAAGCGCAAGTGGGAACCGGGGCTGCGTGAGGCACTTGCGGGCCAGCTGGAGTTCTGGGTGGGCGTGGGCTTGGCGGGCCCCGCACTCGGAGCAGGCGGCCAGCCCTGCTGGCCCCGGGCAATGAGAGACTTAGCACCGGGGCAAGAGACTGCGGAGGGTGTACTGGGTCCCCCAGCAGTGCCAGCCCACCAGCGCTGAGCTCGATTTCTCACCGAGGCTTAGCTGCCTTGCCGCGGGGCAGGGCTCGCGACCAGCAGCCTGCCATGCCTGAGCCTCCCACCCACTCCATGGGCTCCTGTACTGCCCGAGCCTCCCCGACGAGCACCTCCCCCTGTTCCACCGCGCTCAGTCCCATCGACCACCCAAGGGCTGAGGAGTGAGAGCGCACGGCACGGTATGGCAGGCAGCTCCACCTGCAGCCCCGGTGCGGGATCCACTGGGTGAATCCAGCTGGGCTCCTGAGTCTGGTGGGGACGTGGAGAGTCTTTATGCCTAGCTCAGGGATTGTAAATACACCAGTCAGCACCCTGTGTGTAGCTCAAGGTTTGTGAGTGCACCAATCGACACTCTGTATCTAGCTGCTCTGGTAGGGCCTTGGAGAACCTTTATGTCTAGCTCAAGGATTGTAAATACACCAATCAGCAACCTGTGTTTAGCTCAAGGTTTGTGAGTGCACCAATCGACACTCTGTATCTAGCTGCTCTGGTGGGGATGTGGAGAACCTTTATGTCTAGCTCAGGGATTGTGAATACACCAATTGGCACTCTGTATCTAGATCAAGGTTTGTAAACACACTAATCAGCACCCTGTGTTTAGTTCAAGGTTTGTGAATGCACCAATCGACACTCTGTATCTGGCTGCTCTGGTGGAGCCTTGGAGAACCTGTGTGTGGAAACTCTGTATCTAACTAATCTGATGGGGACGTGGAGAACCTTTGTATCTACCTCAGGGATTGTAAACGCACCAATCAGTGCCCTGACAAAACAGGCCACTCGGCTCTACCAATCAGCAGGATGTGGGTGGGGCCAGATAAGAGAATAAAACCAGGCTGCCCCAGCCAGCATTGGCAACCTGCTCGGGTCCCCTTCCGCCCTGTAGAAGCTTTGTTCTTTTGCTCTTTGCAATAAATCTTGCTACTGCTCACTCTTTGGGTCCACGCTGCTTTTATGACCTGTAACATTCACCACGAAGATCTGCAGCTTCACTCCTGAGCCCAGCGAGACCACGAGCCCACCGGGAGGAACGAACAACTCCAGATGGGCTGCCTTAAGAGCTGTAATACTCACCGCCAATGTCTGCAGCTTCACTCCTGAGCCAGCGAGACCACGAACCCACCAGAAAGAAGAAACTCCGAACAGATCTGAACATCAGAAGGGACAGACTCCAGACGCACCACCTTAAGAGCTGTAACACTCACTGCGAGGGTCCGCGGCTTCATTCTTGAAGTCAGTGAGACCAAGAACCCACCAATTCCGGACACAATTGGATCATGGGAGCAGACTTCTTGTTTATGTTCTCATTATAGTAAGTAAGATCAAGTTTTTTGAAAATGTGTAGCACTTCCCCCTTTACACTCTCTTTCCTGCCGCCATGTGAAGACACACTTGCTTTGCCTTGGCCCTCTCCCATAGGTAAGTTTTCTGAGGCCTCCTAGCCATGTCTCCTGCACAGTCGGAGAAACTATGAGCCAATTAAGCCTCCTTTCTTTATAAATTATCCAGCCTCAGGTATTTCTTTACAGCTGTGTGAAAACAAAATAATTCACTTATATATTGCTTATGTTTTCACATTGTTGTTCTGAAGTAAAATTAATCTTTTTTGTTTTTAATTCTCATGCTGTTTGAATGTAGTAACAAGACTTTATTCATTTGAAAATTAATTAGGGTTTTCTGTTTTTCTTCTCTTTTTCACTTCTCTGAAACATTTCTTTCCTTGAATGTGTAGTACAATCCAACTGCAAAAGCAGTTGATTCTAATACTTTTATATAGGGATAATTTAATTGTGGATGCATGTTTTTTAAAATGATATAGCAAGTGCAGTTTTCTAGTTCTTCTTGAGTCGGTTTGGGTAACTGACATTTTTGTAGAGACTTTTCTGTTTCACTGAAGAATTAGAATTTGTTTGCATAAAGATGTTTCTAACATTACCATATTTCTAAATTTCTACTGCGTAGCTGAACATGTCGTCTCTTTGTTTCTTGATATTATGGGTTCTTTCTTTTTGCAATCAACCTGGTCAGAGATTTGTAGGCTTCATAATCTTCTCAAAGAACTAATTCTGTTTCTATTTGATTAATTTCTGCTCTTGGTTCATTATTTTCTGATTAATGTGTTTTTCTTTTGGTGTACTTGTTTCTTCTTTTCCTAAATCTTTATAACAAATGATTCACATATTAGTGTCAGCTTTTCTTATTTCTTCATGAAATACAAAATTTTAACCCATTAATTTATCACTAACTTTTAGCAGGAGTCCAAAATAACTGATACTTAATATTCTGAAGTATTATTTCTTTCTGAATTTCAAATTTTGTTTTTTTATGTGTTAAGAAGTCTGTCATATATTTCCAATTTACTGGATTAAAAATATGTATATTTTTATTTTTTTAATTTTTTTTTTAGTGATAGTTTCCCTCTTTATTTCTTTTTTAAATTATTATTTTACTTTAAATTTTAGGGCACATGTGCAGAATGTGCAGGTTTGTTACATATGTACACATGTGCCATGTTATTGTGCTGCACTATTCACAAGGGCAAAGACTTGGAACGAACCCAAATGTCCAACAATGATAGACTGGAATAAGAAAATGTGGCACGTATACACTGTGGAATACTATGCAGCCATAAAAAATGATGAGTTCATATCCTTTGTAGGGATATGGATGAACCTGGAAACCATCATTCTCAGCCAAAAATATGTATTTTTTATACTTGTTTGTATTGGAATCAGAGAATGTGTTCTTGATAATACATGAACTTTTGAAATGTATTGAGACTTGCTTTATGCCATAGTATATCTTTAAATGCCACTGAATTTTTAGAACGGTTTGCATTATGAGGTACTATATCATATAACTGCCTCTCAGATAGTTTTTGAATAGCCTCTTACATAGTTTAACCTCTGCTGAACCAATAATTTTGGAGTGTTGTATTAAAATGTTACATTATAGTGTAATTAATTTATTATAATCACATCAATTTTTGCTGTATATATTTTAGAAGTGTAGATTAACCCTGTATTAGACTCCTAGTCTATTGAAAGTTTTGTTGTTATATAGGTGACCATAATTTTTCCTTTATTATTAATTGTTTCTTTAAATCTGAAAATATGCAGTGCTTACGAGGGACACAGAATTTAACCGGTATATCCATTTAATAATTTATTAACTGTTTCTTGTTTGTGTTTGATGTGTTTCATAAGCAGCACAGAGCTCCAGTTTTTAAAAATATATATATTTTTAGTAGACGTTAAATTTTTTATTATTCAAATATTTAGATTTATGTCTATAGTTTTAAATTTTTATTTATATTTGCCCTACATTTTAGGTTTCACCTTCATCTCCTGTTTAAAATTGGTTGTATTAACGTGTTTTATTTTTTTCTTTTTGTATATTGTCATGAGTTGAAAAATTCTATCTTATCTTTAAAACCAATCAATATCTGTAATCCCAGTACTTTGGGAGGCCTAGGAGGGCAGATCAGGAGGTCAGGAGATCGAGACCATCCTGGCTAACACGGTGAAACCCTGTCTCTACTAAAAATACAAAAGAATTAGCCGGGCGAGGTGGCAGGATCCCGTAGTCCCAGCTATTCAGGAGGCTGAGGCAGGAGAATGGCGTGAACCCGGGATGCGGAGATTGTAGTGAGCAGAGATCGCACCACTGCACTCCAGCCTGGGTGGCAGAGTGAGACTCCATCTCAAAAAAATATATGTGTATATCTTTACCAGCTTTAGGAAGAATTCAAGATATTTTCATGTTTTTATTTTGATTTGTTTTATTTTGTATGCTTTAATACAATATTTTGAATTCTATCTTCATTAAATTGTGTAAAATGTATTATTATTAAAAATGTTGATAACTACATGCCATTGTTTTACTAGGTTTCTTCAAAAATGACCTTCCCTTTTTTTCCTAGAAACTTCTTATGGAGAACGTCTCTGATCTAGAAAATCTTTCGGCATTTTTTCAGTCACTTTATTTTTTATCAATATTTCTTTCTTTTCTGGGAATAAAATTATGTTCTTGATTTTAGTTTACTCATTCGGGTCTTTCAAGGAATTAAAATTTCTGACTTTTGTTCTCTAAATGCTCTATTGAGTTTTTTACTTTCCAAGTATTGTATTTATTGCATCTAAAATTTCTCTTTTATATCTAGATTTTCAGACTTATCTTAAATATCTTATAATTATCTTTTAGTACTTGACCATACTTCTAATATTACTGTTTTATTTTTTAAAGTTTATTAAGCTACTTTTGTTGTATTCAATGCCTGCTTATAAAAGATCTGCAGTATTTCTCAAATTGTCCCTGTTTTTTCTGCTTGTATTTTTCATGATGGTTTATTTCATGACTTTTTAATATTTTTCTTATTTATGTGAATCATCTAAATTTCAGGAAAATTCTTTAAGGCCTGAGTTTAATTTTTTTTAAAAGGATATTTGTTGTGCAACAGCCAGGTGCTGTACAAAATACTTTTTACACACAATTTTTACACTTAGTTTATGGAAAGTGACAGAAAGGGTATACATTCTGTTGTCAAAACTACATAATAACAGGTTTTGGCTATAAAATTAAAGAGTAAGCATCACATCTATGCTCTTTAAAACTGAAAACCAAGTTTAAGATGAATATCTTTCTCTCTCTCTGTGGGGAGAGTTTGAATGGCTGTATTATCAAAGGTTTCACTATAAGCCATCTGCAAGCTGAGGAGCAAGGAGAGTCAATCCAGGTCCACAAACTAAACAACTTGGAGACTGTGATTGAGGGCAGAAAGCATCCAGCTTGGGAGAAAGATATAGTCTGGGAGACTAGGCCAGTCTCGTCTTTTCATATTTTTCTACCTGGAAGCTAGTCATGCTGGCAGCTGATTAGATGGTGCCCAGTGAGGTTAAGGGAGGGTCTGCCTTTTGCAGCTCACTTACACAAACATTAATCTCCTTTGGCAACACCATTACAGACACACAGAGGATAAATACTTTTCCTTCTCCAATCCAATCATATTGACACTCAGTATTAACTATCACAAGTCCACCCCTGGTCAACTTGAACCCATACATATTTCCTGTGATTATACATAATCTTTGAATAAAGAAAATAATAAGGTCACAATTATGCCTAATATAATACAACTATTCTTCATAAAACAGGAAATGCACCAATCCCCAACCCAAATGCAATTACATGAAGTTAATAATACTTAAATGCTAAGGTGAAGTTAATAAATCTTATAACACATAATAAAGGAAAAAGGAAATAAGGATATTTTCTTAGTATGAGTGTATGAACACACAAAAATGTAAAATGTTTTTAACAAAAGACGGAGAAAATACATATGACAGTTAAAGTTCTAGTTTTTGCAGCTGGTCAAGTGGTTGTAGCTGGTATTGATGACTACCTTCTTCTACTACCCATTCTGTATTCCCTTTGGCTTCAGCAAGCACCTGAGCATGTTCTGAGATTGGCCACAGTGAGACAATATCACTAAGCATGTTAATTAATTTGGTTGAATCAATTATTTAACCAAAATGATGACTTAGAAATATAAAAAGCAAAAGCTTTTTATAATTCTTTACAAATTTTGCTAAAGAACATATTTGTGCCTTTAGAGTACCTTGCTGTACTCTCATTTCAAGGCTCAACTAAAAAAAAATGTATGATACCTTTTTAAATTTAATTAATGTTCACAAAGAATTCCTTTGGCAAGATTTATTTTTACAGTCCTTCCACAACTTGTTTGTATTTTTAGCTTTATCTTATCTTATTCAGATTAAATGTTTTACCCTAGGCAAGAATTTATATATTCATGCCTTTTTTTTTTTTTTTTTTTTTTGAGAGTCTTGTGCTGTCACCCAGGCTGCTGTGCAGTGGCGCAATCTCGTCTCACTGCAAGCTCCGCCTCCCAGGTTAACGCCATTCTCTTGCCTCAGTCTCCAGAGTAGCTGGGACTACAGGCGCCCACCACCACGCCCGGCTAATTTTTTGTATTTTTAGTAGAGACGGGTTTCACCATGTTAGCCAGGATGGTCTCGATCTCCTGACCCCATGATCCGCCTGCCTCGGCCTCCCAAAGTGCTGGGATTACAGGCGTGAGCTACCGCGCCCAGCTATTCATGCCTTCTTATAATTTTTTAATAAAAACATTTTACTATATGTAAATCATTTACTCATATGTTAATCTACTTAAAGGAAATTGCTGACAGTGGGAAGAAAAGAAAAGAAAAGAAAAGAAAAAAAGGCTTAAGTATAGGGCAGGAAAGAAAATTTTCATTCTTTTGCAAATGGGTTCCTTCAACAAGGAGAAAAACTTAATTGCTGTTGGGTGAGGCTGGATCCTTTGGTCAGTGAAGGTGAAAACATCATGAATGCCTGGCATTTTTCAGCCCAGAGGAGATGTTAATGTGGAGCCACCATTCAACTAAGCATCCTACATGTGCCTGGGGCTGTTTGGGTAAGGTGATGCAGAGTTTCCTCTACCCTCCGGAGAAGTCCAAGAATGAAAAGTCTCACAAACAAAAGAGAAAAAGATTTTTTGGTTTACATCTTCCCTTACCTCAAGTCCCACATCTACACACTGATGTGTTATACAACTTTCTCCTTAGTTAAGATTAAACAAGAATCTTGTCACATGATTATGAAGGAAGAGGCTAATGAATACACTGAAGGATCAGAAGTAAAGTTTATTGGGCCAAAAGGTAAAAGAAAACAAAACAAAACAAAAAACAAAAAAATCCTGTCAGCAAAGTGAGAGGCACTCTTGTTATAGGCCTCGACCTCAGAGATTGACTCGAGGCTTGGGCCTCACCCGCATAGAGCACCGTGACATGAAAGTTAAACCTGTAGCAAGATGATGTAACTCTTTTTTATTTATTATTATTATACTTTAAGTTTTAGGGTACATGTGCACAATGCGCAGGTTAGTTACATATGTATACATGTGCCATGCTGGTGCACTGCACCCACTAACTCGTCATCTAGCATTAGGTATATCTCCCAATGCTATCCCTCCCCCTTCCCCCCGCCCCACAACAGGCCCCAGAGTGTGATGTTCCCCTTCCTGTGTCCATGTGTTCTCATTGTTCAGTTCCCACCTAAGAGTGAGAATATGCGGTGTTTGGTTTTTTGTTCTTGCGATAGTTTACTGAGAATGATGATTTCCAATTTCATCCATGTCCCTGCAAAGGACATGAACTCATCATTTTTTATGGCTGCATAGTATTCCATGGTGTATATGTGCCACATTTTCTTAATCCAGTCTATCATTGTTGGACATTTAGGTTGGTTCCAAGTCTTTGCTATTGTGAATAATGCCGCAATAAACATACATGTGCATGTGTCTTTATAGCAGCATGATTTATAGTCCTTTGGGTATATACCCAGTAATGGTATGGCTGGGTCAAATGGTATTTCTTGTTCTAGATCCCTGAGGAATCGCCACACTGATTTCCACAATGGTTGAACTAGTTTACAGTCCCACCAACAGTGTAAAAGTGTTCCTTTCTCCACATCCTCTCCAGCACCTGTTGTTTCCTGACTTTTTAATGATTGACATTCTAACTGGTGTGAGATGATATCTCATTGTGGTTTTGATTTGCATTTCTCTGATGGCCAATGATGGTGAGCATTTTTTCATGTGTTTTTTGGCTGCATAAATGTCTTCTTTTGAGAAGTGTCTGTTCCTGTCCTTCACCAACTTTTTGATGAGGTTGTTTTTTTCTTGTAAATTTGTTTGAGTTCATTGTAGATTCTGGATATTAGCCCTTTGTCAGATGAGTAGGTTACAAAAATTTTCTCCCATTTTGTAGGTTGCCTGTTCACTCTGATGGTAGTTTCTTTTGCTGTGCAGAAGCTCTTTAGTTTAATTAGATCCCATTTGTCAACTTTGGCTTTTGTTGCCATTGCTTTTGGTGTTTTAGACATGAAGTCCTTGCCCATGCCAATGTCCTGAATGGTAATGCCTAGGTTTTCTTCTAGGGTTTGTATGGTTTTAGGTCAAATGTTTAAGTCTT
Organism: Homo sapiens; assembly: GCF_000001405.40. Lineage (NCBI taxonomy): Eukaryota > Metazoa > Chordata > Mammalia > Primates > Hominidae > Homo > Homo sapiens. The sequence goes on from NC_000024.10 coordinate 8,306,845, forward strand.
TAATCCATCTTTAATTGATTTTTGTATAAGGTGTAAGGAAGGGATCCAGTTTCAGCTTTCTATGTATGGCTAGCCAGTTTTCCCAGCACCATTTATTAATAGGGAATCCTTTCCCCATTGCTTGTTTTTCTCAGGTTTGTCAAAGATCAGATAGTTGTAGATATGTGACATTATTCCTGAGGGCTCTGTTCTGTTCCACTGATCTATATCTCTGTTTTGGTACCAGTACCATGCTGTTTGGTTACTGTAGCCTTGTAGTATAGTTTGAAGTCAGGTAGTGTGATGCCTCCAGCTTTGTTCTTTTGACTTAGGATTGACTTGGCGATGAGGGCTCTTTTTTGGTTCCATATGAACTTTAAAGTAGTTTTTTCCAATTCTGTGAAGAAAGTCATTGGTAGCTTGATGGGGATGGCATTGAATCTGTAAATTACCTTGGGCAGTATGGCCATTTTCACGATATTGATTCTTCCTACCCATGAGCATGGAATGTTCTTCCATTTGTTTGTATCCTCTTTTATTTCCTTGAGCAGTCGTTTGTAGTTCTCCTTGAAGAGGTCCTTCACATCTCTTGTAAGTTGGATTCCTAGGTATTTTATTCTCTTTGTAGCAATTGTGAATGGGAGTTCACTCATGATTTGGCTCTCTGTTTGTCTGTTGTTGATGTATAAGAATGCTTGTGATTTTTGTACATTGATTTTGTATCCTGAGACTTTGCTGAAGTTGCTTATCAGCTTAAGGAGATTTTGGGCTGAGACAATGGGGTTTTCTAGATATACAATCATGTCGTCTGCAAACAGGGACAATTTGACGTCCTCTTTTCCTAATTGAATACCCTTTATTTCCTTCTCCTGCCTAATTGCCCTGGCCAGAACTTCCAACACTATGTTGAATAGGAGTGGTGAGAGAGGGCATCCCTGTCTTTTGCCAGTTTTCAAAGGGAATGCTTCCAGTTTTTGCCCATTCAGTATGATATTGGCTGTGGGTTTGTAATAGATAGCTCTTATTATTTTGAAATACGTCCCATCAATACCTAATTTATTGAGAGTTTTTAGCATAAAGTGCTGTTGAATTTTGTCAAAGGCCTTTTCTGCATCTATTGAGATAATCATGTGGTTTTTGTCTTTGGTTCTGTTTATATGCTGGATTACATCTATTGATTTGCGTATCTTGAACCAGGCTTGCATCCCAGGGATGAAGCCCACTTGATCATGGGGGATAAGCTTTTTGATGTGCTGCTGGATTCAGTTTGCCACTGTTTTATTGAGGATTTTTGCATCAATGTTCATCAAGGATATTGGTCTGAAATTCTATTTTTTGGTTGTGTCTCTGCCCAGCTTTGGTATCAGGATGATGCTGGCCTCATAAAATGAGTTAGAGAGGATTCCCTCTTTTTCTATTGATTGGAATAGTTTCAGAAGGAATGGTACCAGTTCCTCCTTGTACCTCTGGTAGAATTCGGCTGTGAATCCATCTGGTCCTGGACTCTTTTTGGTTGGTAAGCTATTGATTATTGCCACAATTTCAGATCCTGTTATTGGTCTATTCAGAGATTCAACTTCTTCCTAGTTTAGTCTTGGGAGAGTGTATTTGTCGAGGAATTTATCCATTTCTTCTAGATTTTCTAGTTTATTTGCATAGAGATGTTTGTAGTATTCTCTGATGGTAGTTTGTATTTCTGTGGGATCGGTGGTGATATCCCCTTTATCATTATTTATTGCGTCTATTTGATTCTTCTCTCTTTTTTTCTTTATTAGTCTTGCTAGTGGTCTATCAATTTTGTTGATCCTTTAAAAAAACCAGCTCCTGGATTCATTAATTTTTTGAAGGATTTTTTGTGTCTCTATTTCCTTCAGTTCTGCTCTGATTTTAGTTATTTCTTGCCTTCTGCTAGCTTTTGACTGTGTTTGCTCTTGCTTTTCTAGTGCTTTTAATTGTGATGTTAGGGTGTCAATTTTGGATCTTTCCTGCTTTCTCTTGTGGGCATTTAGTGCTATAAATTTCCCTCTACACACTGCTTTGAATGCATCCCAGAGATACTGGTATGTTGTTACTTTGTTCTCATCGGTTTCAAAGAACATCTTTATTTCTGCCTTCATTTCGTTATGTACCCAGTAGTCATTCAGGAGCAGTTTGTTCAATTTCCATGTAGTTGAGCGGTTTTGAGTGGGATTCTTAATCCTGAGTTCTAGTTTGATTGCACTGTGATCTGAGAGATAGTTTGTTATAATTTGTGTTCTTTTACATTTGCTGAGGAGAGCTTTACTTCCAAGTATGTGGTCAATTTTGGAATAGGTGTGGTGTGGTGCTGAAAAAAATGTATATTCTGTTGATTTGGGGTGGAGAGTTCTGTAGATGTGTATTAGGTCTGCTTGGTGCAGAGCTGAGTTCAATTCCTGGGTATCCTTTGTGACTTTCTGTCTCATTGATTTGTCTAATATTGACAGTGGGGTGTTAAAGTCTCCCATTATTAATGTGTGGGAGTCTAAGTCTCTTTATAGGTCACTCAGGACTTGCTTTATGAATCTGGGTGCTCCTGTATTGGGTGCGTATGTATTTAGGATAGTTAGCTCTTCTTGTTGAATTGATCCCTTGACCATTATGTAATGGCCTTCTTTGTCTCTTTTGATCTTTGTTGCTTTAAAATCTGTTTTATCAGAGACTAGGTTTGCAACCCCTGCCTTTTTTTGTTTTCCAGTTTCTTGGTAGATCCTCCATCCCTTTATTTTGAGCCTATGTGTGTCTCTGCACATGAGATGGGTTTCCTGAATACAGCACACTGATGGGTCTTGACTCTTTATCCATTTTGCCAGTCTGTGTCTTTTAATTGGAATATTTAGTCCATTTACATTTAAAGTTAATATTGTTATGTGTGAATTTGATCCTGTCATTATGATGTTAGCTGGTTATTTTGCTCTTTAGTTGATGCAGTTTCTTCCTGGTCTCAATGATCTTTACATTTTGGCATGATTTTGCAGTGGCTGGTACCGGTTGTTCCTTTCCATGTTTAGTGTTTCCCTCAGGAGCTCTTCTAGGGCAGGCCTGGTGGTGACAAAATCTCTCCGAATTTGCTTGTCTGTAAAGTATTTTATTTCTCCTTCACTTATGAAGCTTAGTTTGGCTGGATATGAAATTCTGGGTTGAAAATTGTTTTCTTTAAGAATGTTGAATATTGGCCCCCACTCTCTTCTGGCTTGTAGAGTTTCTGCCAAGAGATCCGCTGTTAGTCTGATGGGCCTCCCTTTGAGGGTAACCCGACCTTTCTCTCTGGCTGCCCTTAACATTTTTTCCTTCATTTAAACTTTGACACCTCACACGGCCAGGTACTCCAACAGACCTGCAGCTGAGGTTCCTGTCTATTAGAAGGAAAACTAACAAACAGAAAGGACATCCACACCAAAAGCCCATCTGTATATCAGCATCATCAAAGACCCAAAGTAGATAAAATCACAAAGATGGGGAAAAAAATAGAGCAGAAAAACTGGAAACTCTAAAAAGCAGAGTGCCTTTCCTCCTCCAAAGGAACGTAGTACCTCACCAGCAAGGAACAAAGCTGAACGGAGAATGACTTTGACGAGCTGAGAGAAGAAGGCTTCAGATGATCAAATTACTCTGAGCTATGGGAGGACATTCAAACCAAAGGCAAAGAAGTTGAAAACTTTGAAAAGAATTTAGAAGAATGTATAACTAGAATAACCAATACAGAGAAGTGCTTAAAGGAGCTGATGGAGCTGAAAACCAAGGGTCAATAACTACATGAAGAATGCAGAAGCCACAGGAGCCGATGCGATCAACTGGAAGAAAGGGTATCAGCGATGGAAGATGAAATGAATGAAATGAAGCACGAAGGGAAGTTTAGAGAAAAAAGAATAAAAAGAAATGAGCAAAACCTTCAAGAAATATGGGACTATGTGAAAAGACCTAATCTACGTCTTATTGGTGTACCTGAAAGTGACGGGGAGAATGGAACCAAGTTGGAAAACACTCTGCAGGATATTATCCAGGAGAACTTCCCCAATCTAGCAAGGCAGGCCAACATTCAGATTCAGGAAATACAGAGAACGCCACAAAGATACTGCTCGAGAAGAGCAACTCCAAGACACATAATTGTCAGATTCACCAAAGTTGAGATGATGTTACTCTTTTTCCTTGGTGTTTTCCTAAGGAAGCCTTGTGACATATCTCAGGACCCAGCACCGAGGTGATGTGGCCCTTTTGCCTGGTTTCTTCCCATGTGTTAGACTGTGACATATACCTAAAGAAACACCTAGGTGATGCCACTCTCTTCTTCTTCTTGAGTCCTGCTTCAGGACATAGTGACTCTATATACACACCTAGGTAACAGTTAAAGGTGCCACCCTCAAAGATGAGCAGATTGTGTCATATCACTGGGCCTAGTACCCAGTTGTTAAAACTTTTGCTTAAATTATTTCTTGTGTGTATTGTGACATATCATGTCAGAATCATAATAATGTGACACTTTTGCCCTGGCCCTGCCAACAAGAGATATCATCACATATCTCTGAGCCTAACTGGTAGGTGATTTGTCTTTTTCTTGTGCTTTGCCCCCAAGAAATATTGTGATATTTTTGTATGTAGCATCTAGGAAATGTATCTCTTCTCTCTTGCCTAGGACCTCCCTACTAAAGGAATTGTGCCATACAGCTGAGTGCAAAACCTTGGTAGTGCAACTTTCCCCTTTATTCTGGAGTTTGTTACGAGAGGGGATTATGACATATTGCTGAGCCCAGCACCTAGGTGATGTGAGTTTCCTGTTTTTTTCAACCCTGTCTACAGTGGACATGGTGCCATATTACTTGTGGCTGTATCCAGGTGATGTGACTCTCCTTGCTTGCCCCTGCCAGCAAAGGAGTTGATAGTGTATCAGGAGCTCAGCATCAAGGTGATGAGACTCTCCTTCCTTGTTTTTGCCCACAGGTGAAATTATGTCATATGCCTGGGATCATCTCACATGCACAATTATAACCATCAAACTGGGACCCAGAAAGGAGAGAGATTTTGATTCTTATAGCTAGTCTTATTGCCATAAGTAAAATAATGGGTCTCCTAATTGTATAAAGTTCACAGAGGATTATGACACTCAGACATATCATATAAAGCCTCAGTGGTAAAAAGAGTGTCATGATAGGGAAGAACAACCTGGGGTGATTGCAAATCATGGAGGCACACCCAGCTAGCTTGATTGTCATTCTTACACAAGAACATGGCCTACAAGTAGGGTACTAAATTTCACACAAAAGAGCAGTCAAAGGTTGAAATTTTTCCCCTCATACACGGTTCAACCCCATGGGTAGTGTGGTGATGCAATATTCAGCCCAACTGTGAGATTGTGACTTTCCTACTGGAACATAATCTTCAAGTGGAACTGGACAACTTATGCATGGATCCTGTTAAGACTGTGAGTCCTCAGCTTTGACTCAACTCACAGGAGATGTTGACTCACATGCACAAAGCCAGGACTTGTGTAGGGCTGTGGAACTTATTTCTGAATATTTCCAAGTGTGTGATTAGAATGTAGAAGTTAGCCCAGCTCCTGAATAATTTGACTCTCCTTTTTAGGCCATGACCACAGATAAAATTGTGACATATGTGGACAGTACACCTAAGCAAAGCTTCCTGGGCCTGACTACCAAGGATACTTTTACATATCATTGGGACTAGCATCAAGGTGAGGTGAATTCTTTGTCTTTTCCCTGCCTACAAAAGGCATTGTGGCTTACAGTTAAGTCCATCATATAAGTTCATATAAGTGATGTCACTCCCTTCTAGTGCCTTGGCCCTGCTATTTCAGTTCATTGTGACACATAACTGGGTACTGCACCCAGGTGATATGACTCTCTGTTTAGGGTTCTGCCAGCAGGAAGCTTTGTAACATATCACTTAGCTCAGCACCTAGCTAATGCTTCTTCTCTCTTGCCTTGCTGTGATCAGAGGGGAGACTGTTTCATATTGCTAACCCTAGTGCTGAAGTCATGTCACTTTCATACCGTGGTTCTGAACATAGTGAACATTGTGACATGTCTAGGCCAATTCCTTAGGTAAAGTGAGTCTCCTCATCCTCTTAAGATTTGCTCACAGGGGGAATTTTGATTTATCACTAAAACCAGTATCCAGCTGATGTGAGTCTTATTCCAGGGTCCTGCCCACAAGAAAGATTGTGACATCTCACTGGACCAGCACCCACCCAAATGATGTGACATTTCTGTTTGTTCTCTGCCCACAGGTCATATTGTGCCATATACCTAACACCACTTAAGATGACTAATCATGAATTTTTTTTTTTTTTTTTTTTTTTTTTTTTTTTTTTTTTGAGACGGAGTCTCGCTCTGTCGCCCAGGCTGGAGTGCAGTGGCGGGATCTCGGCTCACTGCAAGCTCCGCCTCCCGGGTTCACGCCATTCTCCTGCCTCAGCCTCCCGAGTAGCTGGGACTACAGGCACCCGCTACCACGCCCGGCTAATTTTTTGTATTTTTAGTAGAGACGGGGTTTCACCGTGTTAGCCAGGATGGTCTCGATCTCCTGACCTCGTGATCCGCCCGCCTCGGCCTCCCAAAGTGCTGGGATTACAGGCATGAGCCACTGCGCCCAGCCTAATCATGACTTTTAAACCTGGATCCTGGTCATATGCAAGATGGAAACTCCCATTCCTGGAACTTTCCACCAGTGTTATTGTGACATATACCTTTGCCCGGCTCCTGAGTGATTTAATAATACTGCCTAATTGTAGCCCTCAAATTCGATTTAGACATATAGTTCATGTGATCACCTTTATGATTTCACTCTCCTGTTTTAACAATATCTTGCAGAAGGATTGTAACAGATTTCTGGACCCAACATCTAGTTACCTGACACTCCTCTCTTACCTGGACCCTGCTTCCACTATGGATTGTAGCATTTCTAAGCACTACCTCCAAATTATATGAATCTCTTGCCTGGTCCTTTCAAGAGGAGACCTTGTGACATATCTCTGGGCTTACCATTTAGGTGATATGAGTCTCCTCTTCTGCCTGGACACTGCCTACAAGGGGTATTGTGTTATACATGTTGATGTAACCCCTGAGTTATGCAACTTTTCTGCCCAGAACATGCCTACAAGGAGAATATTGGAAAATTTCTGGCTCAGTATTTAGGTGACTTGTCTGTCATGCCTGTTTCATTACCACAGACTGAATTGTGATATATACCCAAGCACAGCTCACAGGCATGATAATGACTTTCTTATGTGGATCCCACAAATAGAAGTAATTTTGACTCTCATAACTTGCTTTAGAGACATGAGTGATTAAATCTCTATCTGGCACCAAAAAAAAAAAAAAAAAACAAACAAAAGGTCAAAGAAGATTATAATGGCCTCACATATTTTATAAAGCCTTTGGCTTGTACAGAGTGTCATAACAGAACCCAGCAGAGAGGTGAAATTGTGAGTCTCAAATGCACACCCAGCTGTCACTAAGGTCTAATCACCATCTCACCTATATGAAGCTAACTGTCACTAATGAAAACAGCACACACGTGATACTGTACACCTCATCAGGGGAATTTTCTGATAGTGTTATTGTGATATAAATCTTTGTTGAGCACCTGTGTGATTTAATTCTCCATAATTGTTCCAGCCCACATATGTTATTGTCATATCTACCTGGGCCAAACTCTACATGATGTGACTCTCCTGCCTAGGCCCTGCTCTCAGTAAGAATCATGACTTATTACTACATCCAGCACCTAGGTCATGTTACATCTTTGCCTTAGCCATGCCCAAAGATATTGTTGTGACATATTACCGTGTCAAATACTTAGGTGATATAACTCTCCTAATTAGAATAAACCCTGCACACATGGGGGATAGTGACATGGTACAGCCAGGCACACAGGTAACAGTACTCTTGTTAGAGCCATGTCCCAAAGAAAGAATTGTGACAAATCTCTGGGCTGATCACTTAGATTATGTTGCTCTCCTGCTTGGCTCCTGCTTTCCTGAATAGTGACATATTGCTACACTAGGCCTACAAGTGTTGGTACTCTTTTGCCAGGGTCATGCCTCAAGGAGAATAGGAGAATGTTGTGACATATCTCTGTGCCTATCACTTAGGAAATGCTTCAGCATGGCCCACAAAGAGAATTGTGACATAAAGGTAGAATCTACACCTATTTGTTGTAACTCTCTTGTCTGAGTCTTGTCCTAAGGGAATCTTGTAACGCATCTCAGGAACCAGGATCAAGGTGGTGTGACTCTTCTGCGTGGCTTCACCTCACGTTAGATTTTGTCATATAGCTAGGGAAGCACCTATGTGATATGACTCCTCTTCTGCCTGAGCCTTGCTTATTTGGGACATTGGGCCTTATATCTAAGCCAGTATCCTAAGTGATGTAATTCTATTCTTCTGCCTGAGCCTTTACAATTGGGTGATGTGACATATTGCTAAGCCCAATACTTAGGTTATATGACTCTTCTTTTTTTCCCAAAACATGCCCATGAAAAGGAATTTTGACATATTGCATGGCCCAGCACCCAAGTGATGTTCCTCTTCTGCCTGGATCCTGCATAAAAAGAGAGTTATGGCATATTGCTGTGCCCCCCACCATGATGCTGTAACCCTCTCCTCTTGCCAGTGCCAGAGCAACAGAAAGTAATTTTACATATCTTGGGCACACCCAGTAGGAATTTTGCTTTCATCATTTGACTGTTTTTTTTTTGTTGTTGTTAGTTTGTTTTTAGGTGGGGGGATTGTGTCATATTGCTGAGCCCAGCACCTAGTTAATATAACCCTCATTTCTAGACCCTACCTAGAGAATGCATTGTGATCTATTGCTTGGGACAGCACCTCAGTTGTGCTACCCTCTTGACAAGTTTTTTTTCCCCTACAAATGGGATTATGAAATTTACATTGATCCAATTCAGAGGCATGTTGATCAAACTTAAACTGGGATTCCACCAATAGTAGGTATTTGCCTATCATCTCTACACTTAGGGTAATAAATTTAAAATTGTGAGTTGCATATTTGTAGAAAGCTCACAGCAGCTTAGAACACCAACTCATATTATAAAAACTGCTTGGGTGGTACACAGAGTTTTATAACAGGGCCTAGCAAGAGGTTAAGATTATGACTCTTGATTAGATGTGCAGGTGAGTGCAAATGTTTTCAGCATCCCATATTTACAAAGCCAAATGTTGAAGTCCTGAGCATAACAAGTAAATAAAGTACAAAATTGAAATTTTGACTTTCATATGTGGTTCTTGTTGTAGGTGAGATGGTGACTATTTTCTGGACCCAGATCACAGGCATAATAATGGGTCTCCTATCTGAACCCAGACTATTAGACAGATGTTGACAATCATAACCGGGTTTAGGCAATATGTAAGATTGTGAGTGAATATGAGCATGTAAGCCCCAGAGTGGTTTGTAACTATCATGTATGTTGCATAAACACTCTGAATGTTATAAACACTCTGAATGTTGTAGAGTGTGTCATAAAATGACGCAGAACACATGTAAGGTTGTGACTGTAGTATACACACCAAACTAACAGTTAAAGGTGTAACCTAAAAGATGAAGAGATTGTGTCATATTTCTAGGCCTTGCACCCAGGTGTTAAGAATTCTGACTTAAATTCTTTACCATGGGTGCATTGTGAAATATCACTGTGTGTGTGTGTTTACTATGTATTATATATATGTATTTTATATTTACATATATATGTATTATAATATTATATATGTATATGTATTATATATACATATTATATATGTATATGTATTATATATTATATGTATACTATATATACACACTTGTAGTGTATATATGTAATATACATACATGTAGTGTGTATATATATACATACACAATGTATGTATGTATATCTATACATACAATGTATACTATAGCTGAGTTAGAATCATCATAAGATGACTCTTTTGCTTGGAGTCAGACAACAGGAGATATTATCACATATCTCTGGGCCTATCAGGTAGGTGGTGTGTCTCTCCTGCCAGGGCCCTGCCCACAGGGGACACTGTGACATATCGCTGAATATAGCATATAGGTAATGTGGCTCTGCTCTCTGCCTTGATACTGCCCACTGAATAATTTGTGACATACCACCGAATGCAAAACCTAGGTGATGTGACTCTTCTCTTTGTCCTGGTCTCTATCCAGAAAGGGAATTATAACATATTGCTGTGCCCAACACCTAGGGTGTGTAACAATCCACTATTTTTTCAACCTTGTATACAGTGGGCATTATGACAAATTATTTGAGACTGTACCAAGGTAATATGACTCTTCTGCCTAGGTCATGCCTACGAAAGAGATATAAGTATCCCTGGCTCAGCACCCAGATGATATGACTCTGCTGTCTTGTCTCTATGTGTAGGCAAAATTTTGGCATATACTGGATTCATCTCAAATACACAATAATAACTCTCATACCCAGACCTAGTCAGAGAAGATATTTTGACTCTCCTAGCCAGTCTTGTGGTCATGGGTAAAGTCCTAGATCTCCCACCTGTAAGAATTCACAGAAAAGTATTCTACTCAGACATATCATGTAAAGCCTGGGTTGTACAAAGTATGTCAATACAGTCACCAGCAACCAAGTGCTATTGTGACTCTTGGATGCATAACTAGCTGAAATGACTGTCATTTTCACACATGATCAGAGCCTACGAATAAGGTAGAAAATCTCACACACATAAGCACTTTTACTTACACACCTGAATCTGATACAAAGCGGTTTGGTGATGGTTTAATCATTAATCTGAAGACCTGTGGTGTTTTGACTTTCCTACTGGAACACAATCTTTAAGTAGGATTGGGACTCTTATACATGGATCTTGCCCATTGTGGAGATTGTGACTCCAGTACTTTGACCCAACTCATAGGAGGTGTTGACTTTCATAACCAAAGCTAGCACTTGTGTGGGACTGTGAAGTTTATTTCTGAACATTTTTGAGTACATTATTGAGAAGCATGATTTTGCCCAGGATCTGAGTGTTTGATTCTCCTTTCTAGGCCCAGAGCACTGTTGAAATTGTGACATACATGCACCAAGCACCTAAGCAACGTATAACACTTTTTTGACAATGAGACAAAGGGCAGTTTTATATATAACTGGGGCCAGCACCTAGCTGACATAAAACCTTGGACTGAACCCTGCCAACAAAGATCATTGAGGTTTTTATCTAGGTCCATCACGTAAGTGATGTGACTTCATGCTACTGCCTTGACCATGCACTAATGGTGCATTGTGCCACTTAACTGGGTACTACACCCAGGTGACCTGACTCTATTTCTGAAGGAGTTCTTCCAATAGGAAGCTTGGTAAATTACCACTTGTCTCAGCACCTCGGTGATGTTTCTTCTCTCTAGCCTGTGCCTTGAAGACCAGAGAGATTGTGTCTTATTGCTGAACTTAGCACCAAGGTGAGGTCACTCTCCTGCCTTGGTCCTTCATATAGAGGGCATTGTGACATATATCCAGCCCACTTACTTGTGTGATATTCACCTTCTCTTGTGCCTAAGCTCTGCCCACAGTTGGGAGGACTTAGATATATCACTGAAATCAGCATCCAGGTGATATGACCTTTCTTCCAGAGTCTTTCCCACAAGGAGGATTGTGACATTTCATTGGACCAGTACACAATCAGGTGATTGTTTTCTTTATTCTCTCTGTCCACAGGTGATATTTTGCCATATATGTGAGACCAGATCAAAGGCCTATTAATGACTATTGTACCTGCAGCCAGGACCTGTGTAGGATCATGAGTCTCATAGCTGAATCTTGCCATAAGTGTAATTGTGAAATACACTTTGCCCAGGACCTGAGTGATTTAATGATCCTCAGGTCCTCAATACACCTTGGCCAAAGAAACTTGGTGATTTGCATCTCATGTCTTAACAGTGCCATCAGAAGAGATCATAACATACCATTGGATATAGAAACATTGGGAAATATCACTGAGCCCATGACCTAAGTGTTGTGACTCTCGTTTTCTGCCTGGGTTTTCACTATAGGAGATTTTGACACATTGCTGAGCCCAACAGTCAGGATATGTGACTCTCCTCTTTTTCCTGAACCGTGCCCACAAAAAAAGGTATTGTGACTTATTGCAGGACCCATAACCCAGATGATGCTACTCTTCTGCCTGAGTTATGCATAAAGAGGAAATTATGGCATATTGCCTATTGCTGGGCCCAGAACCCTTACAATGTGTGTCTCCTGCCTGTGGTGGAGCCACTGAAGGTACTTTGACACATCTTGGGTCCATTTGGTAGGTGTTTTGGCTCACATAACTTGGCTGAGTTTTTTCCACATGTGAAATGGTGTATTTCTGGGTCCAGCACCCAGGTAATGTGATCCAATTTCATATGCCCTGCCTAGAGAAGGAAATGTGACATATTGGTTTGCACAGCATCTAAGTGATGTTACCCTCCTGTCTAATTTTTTGACCCCAATGGGATTATATCATATACCTTGATTCAGTCCACAGGCATGATTATTATACTTATACTGGGATTCTGCCAATAGGAGATATTCCCTCTCATTGTTAAAACAATAAGTAAGTTTCTAGATATAAAATAATAGGTAAGTTCCTGTGTTGCATATTGATAGGAACCTCACAGAATCTTACAACACTAACTTATATTGTATAAACTCTTTGCGGTAGAGAGTTTCATAAAAGGGGCCAGCAAAAATTTCAGATTGAGACTCTCGGTTACACATCCAGTTGAAGTTAAAAGTAGTCACCATCACACATTTACAGTGCATGCTGTTGAGGTTCTGATTCTAACAAGGCGATACAGCACAAAGTAGGAATTGTAACTTTTGCATGTGGATTAGGCCACAGGCGGGATGGCTGCTCATTTCTGAACCCAGATCACAGACATAATAATAAGTGTTCCCTTTTAACCCTGCCTATAGGAGAGATATCATCTATCAAACGTGGGCAATATTTATGATTTTGAGTCCCCATGAGCATAAACACCTCAGAGAGGTTTGCAACTCTCAATGAGGTTTCATAAAGCCCCAGATGCCTTACAAAGTATCATGCATTGGCCCAGCATACACGTGAGATTCAGACTCTAATATACATCCTCAGCTAAAGTTAAAGGTATCATCATACAAGATGAGGAGATTGTGTCATATCACTGGGCCTAGTTCTCAGGTTTTGACACTTTTTGGCTAAAATTCTTTTCCTTAGGAGCACTGTTGCAACTTGCTGTGTCAGAATTATAAGAATGTGACTCTTCTGCTTGGACCTAGACAACAGGGGATATTATCACTTATCTCTGGGACTATAAGCTAGGTGATATGTCTCTCCTGCTAGTGCCTTGCCCACAGGAGACACTGTGACATATCGCCAGATATAGCAGCTAGGTTATATGACTCTCCTCTCCTGCCTGAACCCTGCCCACTAAAGAAAGAGTGACATACAACTGAATGCAAAACCTAGGTTATGTGACTCTCCTCTTTGTCCAGGACACTGCCAAGAGATAGAATTATAATCTATTGCTGAGTGCACAACCTAGGGGTTGTGACAATCCACTGTTTTTTCCACCTTGTACACAGTAGGCATTATGACATATTATTTGAGACTGTACCCTTTTTTTGACTTCTTTGACTTGGTCCTGCCTACAAAGGAGATTATAATGTATTCCTGTCTCAGGACTCAGAAGATATCGCTTTTCTGATTGTCTCTGTCCAAAGGTGAATTTGTCACATATAACTTGATTAAGCTCATATGCAAAATAATAACTCTCATACCTAGACCCAGCCAGGGAAGATATTTTGACTCTCATAGCCAGACTTAAGAACATGGATAAAATCCTTAATTTCCCATCTGTAAGAATTCACAGAAAAGTATGCAACTCAGATATATCATGCAAACCCTGTGTCGTACATACAGTGTCACAACGGACAATAGCAACCAGGTGCTATTGTGACTCTTGGATGCACATTCAGCTGACATAATTGTCATTCTCACACATTAACAGAGCCTACCAATGAGGCACTAGATCTTACACAGATAGGCACTTTGAAGCTTGTAATTGTTACTCTCATACATGAAACTGACCTACAGGTGGTTTTTTTGACGTTTGAACAATGGCTCAGCAGACGTGTAGTGCTTTGACTCTCTTACTGGAATATAATCTTCAAGTATGAATGGAGCTTTTATAAATGGACCTTGCCCATTGATGACATAGTGACTCCTTGTACTTCGACCCAACTCATGGGAGATGTTCACTGTTACATCCAAAGGCCGAACTTGTGTGGAACTGTCAAATATATTTCTGAACATTTTTGAGCGTGTGATTGAGCAGTGTGACTTTGCCCAGCATCTGAGTGTATGACTCTCCTTTCTAGGCCCAGAGCACAGTTGAAATTGTGTCATACATGCACCAAGCATCTGAGCAATCTATAACACGCGTTTGGCAATGTAATATAGAAAAATTTACAAATCAATGAGACCAGCACCCAAGTTTTGTGACATTTCTCTTATATCACTACCTACAAAGAGAATATTGGAATATTTCTGGCTGAAGATTTAGTTGATATGGTTGTCCTGGCATGATATTTCTAGTCATATATGGACCCAGCCAATAGGAGAAATTTTGACTAGTATAACTAGGTTGAGGTACATGAGTAATGTCTGGGGCCTAATTCTGGTAAAAATGTTACAGAAGATTACAACAGTCACACATATTTTATAACATCCTTGGGTTGTATAGACAGTGTCACTATAGGGCCCAGCACAGAGAGGAAATTCTGAGTCTCATATGCACACCCAGCTGACAGTAAGGACTTTCACCATCACAGATGGATGAAGACAACTCTCCTACATGAAAACAGAATGTATGTGATCTTTTAAATCTAATCCCCAGAATTTTATTTCACTGTAACTATGATATAAATATTTGCCAAGCACCTGTGTGATTTCACTCTTCAGACTGGTTATAGTCTACATATGAGATTTGGGTATCTCCCTGAGACAATCTTGAAGTGATGAGACTTGTCTGCCCAGACCCTGCTGTCAGTAACAATTGTGACATCACTGGATCCAGCATCAAAGTGTCATTACATTTTGCTTACACCATGCCTAAAGACATCATTGTGACATATAACTTTGTACATTAGTTAGAAGATGTAACTCTCCTCTCTGAAATAAGTCCTGCACACAGGGCAAAAGAGTGACATATTACTAGGACAGGCACACAGGTGACAATACTCTTTTGCCAGGGTCATGCCCAAAAGACGGCATTTTGACATATCACAGGTACTATCATGTAGGTGATATGGCTTTTCTGCTCAGGAGTTGCCTACTTGAATAGTGACATATTGCTAGGACAGGCACAAAGATGGTGGTGTTCTTTTGTCAGGGTCATGCTTTCAGGAAGGCTTTGTGACATATCTCTCAGCCTATCACTTAAGTGATATGCTTGGCCCTGGTCCTTGGTCCTGCTTGTCCCTGCCCACATGAAGCATTGTGAATAATAGTGGAGCATGAACCTAGGTGATGTAACTAACTTCACTAGGTTCTTTTCTAAGGGGGACTGACTTGTGAGTATCTCAGGACACAGGAACAGAAGATGTGGCTCTTCACCATGGTTTCTGATCACATATTAAATTGTGACATACACCTAAAGAAGCATCTAGGTGATCTGACTCTTTCTGCCTGAGCTCTGTCTACTGGTGACATTGGGCCATATCTCTGGCCCAATATGATAGACATAGCATATCTCTGTCTACTGGTGACATAAGTGATGGGACTCTCTTCTTCTGTCTGGACCTTAACAATAGAAACATTTTGACATATTGATGAACCTAGCACATAGGTAGTTTGACTCTCATCTTCTTGCTCAAAAACACCCAGGAACAGGGATTTTGCAATATTTCAGGGCCCAGCACCTGGATGATGCTACTTTTCTGCATAAGTCATGCATAAACAGGGAATTGTGGCATATTGCTTGGTCCAGCACCCTAATGACGTGACTCTCCTGCTTGTGACTGAGCAAAATAAAGTATTTTCAGGTATCTTTAGCCCATTTTATAGGAGCTTTGGCTCTCACCACTTTGCTGGGTTTCTCCCACCTGTGGTTGTATTATAATGCTGGCTCCAGCCCCTGGTTAATATGACTCTCTTCCCTAGGCCTTGCCTAGAGAGGACATTGTGACATATTGCTTGGCCTAGCAATATGTTAACCTTCTGCTTGTTTATTAGCCCACTAATAAGATTATGATGTATACCTTCCTGCAGTTGAAGGGCATGATGATCAATATTATATTGGGATTCTGCCAATAGGAGATATTTTGCCACTCACCATTAGGTTTTGTTCAGTAAGTTCCTTTATTGCATATTTGTACAAATCTCACAGAAGTTTACAACGCTAACTCATATCATACAAACTCCTTGGGTGTTACACAGAGTTTCATAACAGGGCCCAGCAAAAAATTAGGATTGTGACCCTTGACTACACAGGTGAAAGTAAAAGTTGTTATCATTCTACATTTACAAAGCCCATTGTTGATGTCCTGAGTCTAACAAGAGAATATAGCATAAAGTTGGAATCCTGACTTTCATAAGTCAACCTGGCCACAGGTGGAATCATGGCTCATTTCTGGACCCAACTCACAGGAATAATAGTGGTCTCATTCTTTAAGCCAGCCTATAGGAGAGATGTTGACTGTCATATGTGGGTTTAGGACAATCTGTAAGTTTGCGATTCCATATAAGCATGCAGGCCCCAGAGAGGTTTGCAACTTTCGCACATGTTGTATACAGTTATCAGATGTAGAGTGTCACACAATGGCCAGCACATACCTGAGATTGTGACTTTTGCATACAAAACTAGCTAACTGTTAATGGTGTCACCCTTAAAGATGAGGAGATTGAGTCATAATGCCTTGGCCTAATACCCCGGTGTTAAGAAGTTTGGTATATATATAATTTTTCAATAAGAGCATTGTTACATATCACTGGGTCAAGATCATGATAATGTGACTCTTCTGCCTGGGTCCTGCAAACAGTATATATTTTCATATGTCTCTGGGTCCCTCAGCTAGCTGATATGGCTCTCCTGCCAGTGCCCTGCCCACAGGGGTCATTGTGACATATAGCTAGATATAGCATCTAGGAAATGTGACTCTCCTCTGCTGATTGGATCCTGCCTACTGAAGAAATTGTGACATACTGCTGAGTCCAAAACCTAGGTGACATGAGTCTCCTCTTTGTCCTGGATTCTGCCAAGACAGGAAATTATTACATATTGCTGAACCCAGCACCCAGGAGTTGTGATTCTCTCTCTCTTTTTTTTTCTTTGAAACTGTCCTTATTGGGGATGCTGACATATTGCTTGAATCTCTACCTAGTTTATGTTGCTCTTCTGCTTGGTGTCTGCCCATGTGTTAGAATGTGATATGTAACTAGGAAAGTCCCTAGGTGATATGAGTCACCTTTTCTGACTGGGCTTTCCTTACTGGGGACAGTGGGATATATACCTATGTCCATGACCTAAGTGAAGTGACTCTCTTTTTCTGCCTGTTCTTTACAATGAGGGGATTGTGGCATATTGCTGAGTTCATTACTCATGTTATTTGTCTCTAGTTTTTTTCTACAGCCATGCCCACCAATAGAGTTTTTGACCTATTGCAGGCCTCAGCCACGAGATAATGTTACTCCTTTGCTTGGGTCCAGTGTATAGACTGAATTATGGCATATTGCTGGGGACAGCAACCTGACAATGTCATTTCAGAGCAGGGCATTATTTCATCTCTCATGCCTGTCCCGTATGCACAGAAGATTTTTAACATATCCTGGGCTTATTATGTAGGTGTTTTGACTCTCATCCCTTGGCTGGGATTTTGCACATGTGGGATGGTTTCATACTGCTGAATCCAGCACCCAGCTAATGTGACTCTAATTCCTATACCCTTTCTAGAGAGAACATTGTGACATGCTACTTGACACAGCAGCTAAACAATCTTACCTGCCAACGTAGTTTTTGCCCACAAATGGGACTATGATATATACTTTACTTCAGTTTGCAGGCATGAGAGTAAAACCTATATTAGTGATATGGTTCTCCTTCATATTCCAGACTCTGACAACAGGACTTACTTTGTCTTTCATCGCTAGGCTTAGGGCAACGTCCTGTGTTACATATTTGTATCAAACTCACAGTGCGTTACAATACTAACTCATAAAGTATAATCTCCTCATGTGGTACAGAGAGTTTTATCATAGAAACCATCAAAAACTTCAGATTGGGTCTCTAGATTATACACCCTGGTAAAAGCAAATGTTGCTACCATTCCACCTATGCAAATCCCACTGTTACGGTCCTGAGTCTAACAAGTGAATAAAGTACAAAGTTGGAATTGTGACTTTCATATGTCCCACATATGTCCCACAGGTGGGATGATGACTCATTTCTGGATCCAGCTCACACGCATAATAATGTGTCTCATCCCTAATCCCAGCCTATAGAAGAGATGTTGACCATTATACCTGGGTTAGGCCAGTAGTTATGATTTTGAATCCAAATGGGCATACAGGACTCAGAGTGATTTGCAACTCTCATGCATGCTGTATAAAGCCTTCAAATGTTGTAGAGTGTCATACAATAGCCCAGGAAAAATGTGAGTTTGTGACTGTCATATACACATCCAGGTCACAGTTAATGGTGTCACCCTCAAAGACCAAAGGTTTGACATATTCTTAGGCCTTGTACTGAGGTGTTGAGACTTTTTGGCTTAAATATCTTCTCATGGGTTCATTATGACATATTGTTGAGTTATAATAATAATATTATGACTTTTCTGCCTGGACCCTGCCAACCTGAGATATTATCACATAACCCTGGGCTTATAAGCTGGGTGACTTCTCTCTCCTATGTGTACCCTGCCCCTAGAAGACATTGTGAAATATTGTTTGGCCAACATTTATGTCATGCGATCCTCCTCCTGGCTAAGGTTCTGCTTACCAAAAATCTTGTGACATACTGCTGATTGCAGCACCTAGGTGATATGGCTTTCCTTCATATTCCAGACTCTGGCAATAGATACATTATTAAATATTGCAGGGCCCAGCACCTAGGTGGAGTAACTCTCCTCTTATGCTTCTTCCCTGTCTATAGCCGGCTTGGTAACATACTATTTGAGGCTGTATCCAGGTTGTGTGATTTTCTGACTAGGCCCAGCCTATAAAAGAGATTATACTGTATCACTGGCTCAGCACCCAGATAATGTGACTTTCCTGCATTGTCCCTGCTAACAGGTGAAATTGTGATATACACATGAGTTAAGCACATATGCACAATAATAACTCTTATAACTGGACCAACCCAGTAGGACTATTTTAACACTCTGTGTTAAGGACACATGCATAATAAATTTTATACCTGGACCCAGCAAGCAGAGATATTTTGAGTCTTACAGCCAGTCTCAAGTCCATGGGTAAAGTCCTGGGATTTTTACTTGTACAAAGTTCATGAAGAATTATAAGACTCAGGCATATAATATAAACCCTTTATGGTGCAAAGAGTGTCATAAAAGAGATCAGCAACGAGGTGAGAATATGACTCTTGCATGCATACCTAATAGAAGTCAAAAGCTGAAATAATTACTCTTATACCTGCCTCTTAATCACAGGTGGTTTGGTAACATTTGCAGCATGATTCAGCACAATGTGGTGTTGTGACTCCCCAGCTGAAACATAATCTTCTGGTGGGATTCTGGCTGTTATAGATGGATCTGCATCATTGCTGAAATGTGACTCCTCTGCATCAACTCAACTCATAGAAAGATTTGACTTTCATACACAAAACCAGGACTTGTGTAGAATGTGCAACTTATTTCAAACATTTCTGAGAGTGTGATTGGGACAGGTAAATTTCCCCAGCACATGAATAATTTGACCCCTTTTTTTGGTCCACACTACAGATGAAATTGTGCCATATGTGGAAGAATATGGCCCTAAGCAATACGTAACACATTCCTTCGCACTGCCTATGAAGGGCACTTTTGTATATCACTAGGACCATCATCCTGGTGAGGCGAATTATCTGCCTAAACTTGCCTACAATGAGAATTGTGTCTTATATCAAGGTCCATTACATAAGTGATATGACTCCTTTCTACTGCCTTGGCCCTGCACTTATAGTGTATTGTAACACATAGCTTGGTACTGCACCCAGGTGATGTGATTCTCTATTTTGGGTTCTGCCAACAGAAAGCATTGTAACATATCACTTGGCTAAGCACCTAGGTGATGTTTCTTCACTTTTGCCTGTTCCCTGGCCACAGGGAGACTGTGACATATTCCTGATTTCAGCATCAATGTGAGATCGCTCTCCAACCTTGGTACTGAATATTAGAGCCATTTTGACATATAGTGAGGCCAATTGTTAGGTGAACTGAATCTCCTCTCTTGCCAAATTCATGCCAACATGAGGAGTTTTGATATGTCACTGAAATTAGCTTTCCGGTTTTGTGACTTTTTGGCCAGTTTCCTGCCCACAAGGTGGATTGTGACATCTCATTGGACTTGCACCCACGTAGGTGATGTGACTTTCCTGCCTTCTCTCTTGCCACAAATAATATTGTGCCATGTATCTGAGACCATAAAAAAGCCTAATAGCAACTCATGTCTGGAGTCAGAACTTGCGCAGGATGGTGAGTTGTATTCTTAAACTTTTTCACAAGTGTAATTCTGACATATAGTATTGCTCAGCTCCTGAGTGACTTAATAATTCTGCCTAGATTCAGTCCACAAATGAGATTTTGACAAATACCTGGGCCAAGAACCTTGGTGAATTAATCGTGCTATCTTAACAATGTCCTTAGGGTGAATGGTCACATATTTCTTTACCTGTCATCTAGGTTACATGACTCCCTTCTTTGGCCTGTACTCTGCTTTCTTTAGTAATTTTAGCATTTCTAAACACTGCATCCTAATGACTTGATTCTTTTTCCTGAGCCCTGTCAACATGAGATATTGTGACATATTTTTGATCCCTGCTGTAAGGTGATATGAGTCTCCTATCCTGCCTGGACACTTCCCACAAGGGACGTTGTGCACAAAGCTGGATTTAGCACACCAGTTGTGTGACATTTCTTACTGGAATATTCCTACAATAAGAATATTGGGATATTTCTGGCCCAGGATTTCAGTGATGTGGCTCTTCTGCCTGCTTTATAACTACAGAGGGAATTGTAACCTATTCCTAGGCCTGCACAACAGGCATGATAATGAGTCATTTATGTGGACTCAGCCAGTAGAGGCTACTTTAAGTCTTATAAATAGGTTTAATGACATGTGTGATGTCTTGGATCATCTTCTTGTTCAAAGGTCACAGAAGACTGTAACACTTACACATGTTTACAAAATCTTTGGCTTACATACACAGAATCTAAGCAGGGCTCAGCTT
Source organism: Homo sapiens (assembly GCF_000001405.40). Classification (NCBI taxonomy): domain Eukaryota; kingdom Metazoa; phylum Chordata; class Mammalia; order Primates; family Hominidae; genus Homo; species Homo sapiens. Next base: position 8,328,286 of record NC_000024.10, read on the forward strand.
ACAGGTGGTTTTGAGCCTTGTATGCACACCTAGCTCACAGTAATGACTGTCATCATCTAACATGTATGAAGCCAGTTGTTAAATGAAAACAGGATGTGTGTGGTATTGTAAATCTCATCTTTGGAATTTTCTGAGAGTGTGATTGTGATGTAAACCTTTGCCAAGCACCTGTGTAATCTGACTCACCAGAATTGTTTCAGCCCATATATGAGATTGTGATCTCTACCTAGGACAACCTGGAGGTGATGTGACTCTCCTGCCTGGGCCCTTTTCTCAGTAATGATTGTGACATATCACTGGAGCTAGCATCCAGGTGATGTTATATTCTTGCCTTCACCATGCCACCCAAATTGCTGTTACATATATTTGTGTCCACCTCTTAGGGGATGCCACTCTCCTCTCTGTAATGGGCCCTGCACAAAGGAAGGATGGTGACATATTGCTAGCCCAGGCATACAGGTGAGGGAACTCTTAGGCCAGATCCATGCCCAAAGGAGGGCATTGTGACATATCTCTCGGCTTATCGCAGAGTTTATGTGGCTTTCCTGCTTGGGCTTTGCCAACCTGGAGAGTGACATATTTCCAGGCCAGTCACACAGGTGATGATATTCTTTTGCCAGGGCTATGCTCCATAGAGGACATTGTTACATATATCTGGGCCTATCACCTCGGTGAAGTGAATCCCTGCTTTGGCCCTACCCATGTGGAGCATTGTGGCATAAGCAGAAACCTGCATCTAGGTGATATAACTCTCTTTGCTGGGTTCTGTGTTAAGAGAGCCTTGTGAAAGATCTCAGGAACCAGAACCTAAGTGATGTGTTTCTTTTGTCCACTTTCTGTCCACATGTTACATTGTGACACATTCCCAGGAAAGCAGCTAGGGGATCTGACTCTCCTCATCTGCCTGATCCCTGCTTGCGGTGGACATTGGGATGCTGGGGTTCAGTCAGCCTGGTGGGAAATTATTTATGTAAAATATAAACACATAATCTCTGGAAGGCCTGGAGGTTTGTATAAAGTGTTTGGCTGAAGACAGCCTTATACTTTTTGAGCTATAGCAAGGGTATTTAACGATGGAATACAGAGAAGTCTATTTAAATAGCTTGTTTACTCATGTGGTCCTAAAACTAACCTTTGACCATTTGCTGGTGTGTAATTTCTTTGTATTAGAGGGGTCAGCAATGGTAATTAATTTCTAGTGGTGTTTACTTGAGACTTTTGTCATTTAATGTGTGTTGAATGAATGCCAGGAGAGCCAGCAACTCAGGGCCACAGCTGACAGCACTCTCACTGGAGTCTGTAAGTGGCTTGGACTCTCAGCCAGACTGATAAGCATAATATATGCATCTGTGTACATTATTTATTTTTCGTTGAGTCAGGGTTTCCCGGAAAACCTCTCATTGGGACATATCTCTGAGCCCATGACCTAAGTGATGTGGCTCTCTTTTTCTGCCTGGGCCTTCACAATAGGAGGATTTTGACACATTGGTGAGCCCAGCACTCAAGGTACATAACTCTCCTCTTTTTCTGGACAATGCCTACAAAAATGGAATTTTGTCATATTGCAGGATTCATCACTGGATGATGTTACTCTTCTGCCTGGGTCCTGCATAAAGAGGAAATTATGACATATTGCATATCACTGGGCCAAGCACCCTATTGATGTGACTCTCCTGTCTGTGCTTGAGCCACTGAAGGTATATTGTCATATCTTGGGCCCATTATGTAGGTGTTTTGGCTCTCATTACCTGGCTGGATTTTTTCCACATGTGAGATGGTACCATATTGATGGGTTCAGCACCCAGTTATGTGACCCAGTTTTCGATACCCTGCGTAGAGAAGGCATTGTGACACATTGCTTTGCACAGAATTGCTCAATATTCAGGTTATTTGGCTAAGTGATGTTACCCTCCTGCCTAGTTTTTTGTCCACAAATGGAATTATGACATATACCTTGCTGAAGTTCAAAGGCATGATGATCAAACTTATATTCGGTTTGAGCCAATAGGGAAAATTTTCCCTCTTATACTTAGGCTTAGGACAATAGAGAAGCCCCAGGTTGCATATTTGTATCATGCTCACAGAAGCTTACACCACTATCTTATATAGTATAAACACTTCTGTGGTAGGGAGTTTCATAACAGGAGCCAGCAGAAAGTTCACATTGGGGCTCTCAATTACACACCAAGGAGAAATTAAAAGTGGTCATTATTCCACACCTACAAATCCCACTGTTGACATTCTGAGTGTAACAAGCAAATATAGTGCGAGGTTGGAATTATGACTTTTATATGTGGATCTGGCCAAAGGTGAGATTGTGACTTATTTCTGGACCCAGCCCACAGGCATAATAATAGGTCTTCTCCCTTAACTCTGCCTATAGGAGAGATGTTGACTAAAAAACCTGGGGTTAGGGCAATATATAAGATTGTGAGTTCATAAGAGCATGTACACCTCAGAGAGGTTTGCATCCCTCATGAAGGTGTTATAAATTCCTCGGATGTTGCAGAGAGAGTCATACATTGGTCCAGTACACAAGTGAGACAGTGACACTAATACACATGCTCAGCTAAAAGTTACCTGTCACCCTCAAAGATGAGGAGATTGTGTCATATCACTGAGCCCCAGTTTTGAGACTTTGGGGCTCATATTCCTTTCCATGGGGACATTATTACATGTCACTGGGTCAAAATCATAATGATGTGACTCTTTTGCCTGGGCGCTCTCACCGGGGGATATTATCACATATGTCTGAGACTATTAGCTACGTGATGTGTCTCCCCTGACAGTGCTGTGCACACAGGAAACATTGTGACTTATCACTAGATATAGAATCTACGTAATGTGACTCTTCTGTCCTGCCTGGATCCTGCCCACTGAAGAAATTGTGACATACCACTGAAAGCAAAATCTAGCTGAGTCATATCACCAAATATTTAGGTGATATGACTCTCCTCTTCTGCCTGAACATGGCCCACAAGTGACAATGTGCCACAGAGCTGGATCAAGTACACAGGTTATGCCACATTTCACAAAGTATTCTGCCTACAAAGAAAATATTGGACTATTTCTGGCTCAGCATTCAGGTTGTTTGGCTACCATGACTGTTTCATTACCACAAAGTAACCTTTGATGTAAACCTGTGCACAGTTCACAGGCCTGGTGATAACTCTCGTATGTGGACCCCATGAATAGGAGTAATTTTGACTCTCATAATTTTTTAAAAACAGGAGTGATTACATCCCTTTCTGCTAAAAAAAAAATCACAGAAGGTTATAACAAACTCAGATATTTGGTAAAGACCTTGACTTGTACAGATCGTGTCATAAGAGAACCCAGCAGAAAGGTAAAATTGTATTCTTACATGCACACCCAGCAGTCAGTAATGACTGTCACTGTCTCACATATATGAAGCCAACAGTTACACATGAAAACGGGACGTGTGGAATCGTAAATCTCCTCTCAGGTATTTTCTGCCAGTGTAATTGTGATGTAAATATTTGCTGAGAACCTGTGTGATTTGACTCTGTAGACTGGATCCACCCCACATATGTTGTGATATCTACCTGGGGAAACCACTAGGTGATGTGAATCTCCTGGCTGGGCTTTGCTGTCAGTAAGAATCATGGCATATCACTAGATCCAGGAACCAGGTCATGTTACATTTATTTCTGAGCCATGCCCACATAAATCATTGTGATATATGACTGTGTCAAACACCTGGGTGACATAACTCTCTTCATTAGAAGGCACATAGTGGAGTATAACGACATATGGCTTGATGAGTCAAACAAGTGATGGTACCCTTTTGCTAGGGCCTTGTCCTAAACAGGGCATTGTGGAAAACCTCTGGGCCTATCACCTAGGTGATATTGATCTCCTGCTTGGGTCCTACTTTCCTGGATAGTGACATATCACTAGGCTAGGCATGCAGGTGATGGTACTCTTTCCACAGGGCCATGCCTCAAGGAGGACTTTCTGACATCTCTGGGCCAATCATCTAGGTGATGTGACTCTTGGCTTGAGGCCTGACCACATGGATTATTATGAAATAAGTGTAGACCCTGCATCTATTTGTTGTAACTCTCTTGCCTAGGTCCTGTCCTAAGGGAGCCATGTGACACATTTCAGGACCCAGCATCAAGGTGAGGTGGCTATTCTGCTTGGCTTCAGCTCACATGTTAGATTGTGCCATGTACCTGGAGAAGCACCTAGGTGATATGACTACACTTCTACCTGACTCCTGCCTACTTGGAATATTTGGCTAATGATCTGAGCCTGGGTCCTAAGTGATGTGACTCTTTTCTTCTGCTTGAGCCTTTAAAGTATGGTGATGTGACACATTGTTAAGCCCAATACTTAGGTAATATGATTCTACTTTTTATCCTGAACTATGCACATGAAAAAGAATTTGGACGGATTGCAGGGCTCAGCACCTAGATGATGTTCCTCTTCTGTACATGTCCTGCATAAACAAATAATTATGGTATACTGCTAGGCACCCTCATCCTGATGATGTAAACTTCTCTCCTGTGCTAGAGCAACAAAAAGTATTTTTACTTATCTTGGGCCTATTGCATAGGTGTTTTTGCTATTATTTTTCTATGTTTCTTTTTTTCACATTTGGGATTTTGTCATATTACTGGGTCCAGCACCCAGTTAATGTAACCCTAACTTCTAGACCCTGCCTAAAAAAGGTATTGTGTCATATTGCTTGACACAGCATCTTAGTAGTATTTTTCCTACAAATGAGATTATGAAATTTATATTGTGTCATTTCACAGGCAAGATGATCAAACTTAAATTTAGATTCCACTACTAGTGATATTTTCTTCTCATTTCTATGCTTCAGCAATAGGTAAGGTTATGAGTTGCATATTTGTATAAAGGTAACATAAGTTTGCAACACTAACTCATACCATATAAACTCCTTGGGTGGTACACAGAGTTTTATAACAGGGCCCAGCAGAAGGTAATATTGTGACTCCTGATTACATATGCAGGTGAGAGCAAAAATTATCACCATACCACATTTGCAAAGCCCAGTGTGGAAGTCCTGATTCTAACAAGTAAATAAAGTACAAAGATGGAGTTGTGAGTTTCATATGTGGATCTTACTATAGGCAAGATGATGAATCATTTCTAGACCCATATTAAAGGCATAATAATGTGTCTCATGTCTGAACCCAGCCTATAAGAGAGATATTGACTATCATAACTGGGTTTAGGGCAATATGTGTCATTGTGAGTCAATACAAGCATGTACGACTCAGAGATTTTCAACTCTCATGCATATTGCCTAAAACCTCCAGATATTATAGAGTGTGTCATACTACGACCCAAAATACACATGAGATTGCGACCCTTATATACACACCAAGCTAACTGTTAAAGATGTTACACTAAATTATGAGAAGATTGTGTTATTTTACTAGGCCTAGTACCCGGTGTTGAAAGTTTTTGGCTAAATTTTTTCCCATGGGTGCACTGTAAAATATCTCTGAGTTAGAATCATAATAATGTGGCTGGACATGGTGGATCATGCTGTCATTCCAGCATTTTGGGAGGCTGAGGCTGGTGGATCACAAGATCAGGAGATCAAGACCATCCTGACTAACACGGTGAAACCCTGTCTGTATTAAAAATACAAAAAAGTTAGCCAGCATGATGGCAGGCACCAGTGATCCCAGCTACTCAGGAGGTTGAGGCAGGAGAATGGCATGAACCCAGGAGGCAGTGCTTGCAGTGAGCCTAGATCATGCCACTGCACTCCAGCCTGGGTGACAGAGGGAGACTTCATCCCGGAAAAAAAAAAATAGTAATATTTTTCAGCTTGGACCCAGCCAACAGGACATATTATCCCACATTTTTGGTCTTATAAGCCAGGTGATGTGTTTCTCCTCCCAGTTTTCTGACCACAGAGGACACTGTGACATATCTCTAAATATAGCACATAGGTAATGTGACTCTCCTCTCTTGCCTGGATCCTGCCCACTGAAGAAATTGGGACATACCACTGAGTGCAAAACCTAAGTGATGTGACTCTTCTCTTTCTCGCGGACTCTGACAAAAGAGGGAATTATCAGGTATTACTGCACACAGCATTTAGGGAATGTGACTATTCAATATTTTTTCAAACCTGTATACAGTGAGCATGATGTCATATTTGAGATTGTACCCAGGTGACATGGCTCTTCTGACAGGGTCCTGTGTACAAAGAAGGTTTTAATGTATCCCTGGCTCAGCACCTTGATGATGTAACACTTCTGTCTTGTCTCTGTCCAAAGGTGAAAATGTGACATATACCTGCATTCAGCCCATATGCACAATAATAACTCTCATATCTAGACCCATCCAGGGCAGATATTTCAACTCTCATAGCCAGTCATACAGGCTTGGGGAATGTCTCAGATTTCCAACTGTAAGAATTCACAGAAAAGTATGCTACTCAGGAATATTATATAAAGCCTGAGTGGTACAAGGACTGTCATAACATAGAAACCAGATGCTATTGTGATTCTTGGATCCACACCTAGCTGACACAATTGTCATTCTCACACATGGACAGAGCCTATGAATGAGGTGCTAAATCTCTCACACCTGAGCAGTTGATACTGTTACTCTCATACATGTATCTACTCCACAGGTGGTTTAATGACATTTGAGCCATGATTAAGTAGAACTGTGGTGTTTGACTCTCTTGCTGGAACACAATTATTTACTGGGATTCGGGCTTTTATACATGGATTCTTCCCCTCGTTGGGATTGTAATGCTTGTACTGCAACCCAAATCATAGGGGGGTGTTGACTCTCATACCAGAAGCCAGGAATTGTGTGAGACTGTGAAACTTATTTCTTAATATTTTCAAGTTTGTGATTGAGAAGTATGACTTTGCCCAGCATCTGAGTGTTTTCACCTTCCTTTCTGGGCCCAGAGCACAACTGAAATTGTGACATGTATGCACCAAGCACCTAAGCTAAGTCCAACACCTTCTTTGGCAATGTGACAAAGGGCACATTTTTTCATATCATTGGGACCAGCACTCAACTGATGTGAAAACTTGTTCCAAACTCTGCCTGTGAAGAGTATTGTGGCTTCTATCTAGGTCCATCACATAAGTTATTTGACTTTCTTCTAATGCCTTGGCCATGCACTTATGGTGCATTGTGACACATCACTGGGTACTGCACCCAGGTGATATGACTCTTTTTTATGGGAGGGGTTTTACCAGTAGGAAATGATGTGTCACTTGTCTCAGCATCTATGTGAGGCTTATTCTTTTTTGCCTGGGCCCTGACTACTGGAGAGATTGTGAAATATTGCTGAACCCAACACCAAGTTTGGTCCCTCTCCTGCATGGTCCTGCACACAGGGGAAATTGTGACATATATCCAGACCAGTTGCTTAGGTGAGGTTTGTCTCCTATCCTGCCTAAGCCCTGCCTACAGGGGAAATTCAGATATGTCACTGAAACCAACATTTATGTGATGTGCCTCTTTTTCCAGAATCCTGCCCACAAGGAGCATTGTGACATTTCACTGGACCAGAATCCACTCAGGTGATGTGACTTTCCTTTCTTCTCCCTCCCTGCCCACAGGTGATGTTGTGCCATATAACTGAGACTAGATGAAAGGCCTAACAACGACTTTTGTACTTGGAGCCAGGACATGTGCAGGATGGTGACTCTCATCCCTAAACTTTTCCATTGGTGGTGTTGTGACATAACTTTGCCCAGCTCCTGAGTGATTTAATAATCCTGCCTAGTTATAGCCCACTGATGACATTTTGACATAAACCTGAGATAACAATCTTGGCGATTTGACTCTCATGTTTTAACAGTATCCTCAGAAGAGTTCACAACATACTCCTAGACCCCTTGTCTAGGTATGTGACTCTCCTCTCCTGCCTGAACTCGGCTTCCAGTGAAGAGTGTAGCATTTTTAAGCACTGTATCCAAACAACATAACCCTCTTGCCTAACCTTTTTGACAGAAGGTATTGTGAAATATTTCTGTGCCCATCATTTAGGTGGTATGACTCACCTTTCCTGCCTGGACACTCTGCACAGGAGGCATTATGCCATAGAGCTGGGTTTAGCACCCAATATTTGTGATGTTTCTGTGAGGGTCTTGCCTACAAAGAGAATATTGGAATTTTTCTGGCTTCGGATTTAGGTGACATGGTTGTCCTGCCTGTTTAGTAACCACAAAGTGGATGGTGGCATATACGTAGGCACAGCTAACAGGCATAATAATGACTCTCATATGTGGTCTGAGCCAATAGGAGAAATTTTGACTCATCTAACTAGGTTGATGTACATGAGTGATATGGAGGTTCTTCTTCTGGAAAAGGTCACAGAAGATTACAAAAATCACACATATTTTATAACACCTTTGGGTTGTACAGAGAGTGTCATAACAGGGCCTAGCACACAAAAGAAATTGTGAGTCTCCAATGCACACCAGCTGACTGTAAGGAATTTCACTATTCCAGATGGATGGAGGCAACTCTCCTACATGAAAACAGGACATGTGTGGTATGGTAAATCTAATCCCTAGAATTTTATTCTATCGTGATTGTGATATAAATCTTTGTCAAGTACCTGTGTGATTTTACTCTTCAGACTGGTTCCAGCCTACATATGGGATTTTGATATCTACCTGAGCCACTCTTAAAATGATATGACTCTTCTGCCTGGATCATGCTCAGTAAGAATGGTGACATCACTGGATCCAGCTCCCGGGTGACTTTACATTCTTGTCTGCACCATACCCAGAAACATCATTGTGACATATCACTGTGTCCATCCCTTAGAAGATGTTACTCTCATCTCTGGAATGAGCCCTGCACACAGGGAAGAATAGTGACACATTTCTAGGCCACACACACAGATGATGATACTCTTTTGTCAGGACCTTGACCAAAAGAGGACATTTTGACATATCTCAGGGCCTATCTTGTAGGTGATATGGCTCTTCAGCTTGGGACCTGCCCACTTGAACAGTGACATATTGCTAGGCCAGGCACAAAGGTGATGGTACTCTTTTGACAGGGCCATGCTTTAAGGAAGACTTTGTGACACATCTCTGTGGCTATCACCTAGTTTATGTGACGTCTTGCTTGGTCCTGCCCACATGGGGCATTGTGACATAAAGCTGGAACCTGGACATAGGTGATGTATCTCCATTGTCTGGGTCCTTTTCTAAAGGGGACTTGTGAATACATCAGGACCAAAATTCATGTGATGTGTCTCTTCAGCCTAGTATCTGCCCACATATTAATTTGTGACATATAGCTAAGGAAGCAATTGGATGATATGACTCTCTTTTTCTGCTTGAGCCCAGCATACTGGTGACATTGGGACATATTTCTGAGCCCATGACCTAAATCATGTGACTCTCTTCTTCTGACTGTGCTTTTATAATGAGAATATTATGATATATTGATGAGTCCAGCCCTTAGGTAATGTGACTTTCATCTTTTTGCTGAACAACACCCACAAACAGGACTTTTCCCATGCTTCAGGGCCCAACTCCCAGATTATGTCAGTCTTCTGCCTAGGTCATGCATAAATAGGGAGTTATAGCATATTGTTCAGCCCAGCACCACAAAGATGTAACTCTCCTGCTTCTGCCCAAGCCACAGAAGGTATTTTGACGTATCTTTGACCCATTCGGTAGGTGTTTTGACTCTCATCACTTTTCTGGATTTTCTCCACATGAGGTTGTATCATATTGGTGGCTCCAGCCCCCAGTTAATGTGACCCTTTTCCTAGCCCTTGCCTAGAGAGGACATTGTGAAATATCGTGTGGCACAACACCTAAGTAATTTTAAAGTTTTGCTTGGTTTTCTTGCCCACAAATGGGATTATGACATATACTTTGGTTCAGTTCAAAGGCAAGATGATCAAGCTTATATTGGGATTCACCCAATAGGGGATATCTTGCCTCTAGCATCTATATTTAGGTCGATAGGTAAGGTCCTTCATTTCACATTTGAACAGAGCACACTGAAATTTGCAATATTAACTCATATCAGGAAAACTTATTGGGTAGTACAGAGTTTCATAATAGGGCCGAGCAAAAGTTAAGATTGTGTCTCTTGACTACACACTCTCATGAAAGTAAAAGTTATTGTCATCCTACATTTACAAAGCCCATTGTTGAGTTCCTCAGTCTAACAAGTAAATACAGCAGAAAGTTGGAATTGTGACTTTCATAAGTGAATGTGGCCACGCATGGGATGGTGACTCATTTTTGGCACCAGCTTACAGGCATAATAGTGGTCTCATTCCTGAGTCCAGCCTATAGGAGAGCTGTTTACTGTCATGCCTGGGTTTATGGCAATATGTAAGATCATGAGTCCATATAAGTGTTTGGGCCTAAGAAAAGTTAGCAACCCTGATGCATGTTGAACAAAGTTCCCTGATGTTGTAGAGTGTGCCATACAATGGTCAGCACACATGTGAGATTGTGGCTTTCATATACACAACTAGCTAACAGTTAATATTTTCACTCTTAAAAATGAGAAGATTGTGTCATATCCATTGGCTTAGCAACCAGGTGTTGAGACTTTTTGGCTTAACTTCCTTTCTATAAGGGCTTTGTTACATATCACTGGTTCAGAGTAATGATAATGCGATTCTTCTGCCTAGACCCAATAATCAGGGAATATTTTTAGATAGCTCTGGTCCTACTTGCTAGGTGATATTTCTCCCTTCCAGTGTCCTGCCCACAGGGGACACTATAGCATACCACAAGATAAAATATCTAGGTAATATGACTCTCCTCTCCTGCTTGGATCCTGCCTACTGAAGAAATTGTGACATGTTACTGAGCATAAAACCTTGTTGACATGACTTTCCTCTTTTTCCTAAACTCTGCCTAGAGGAGGAATTATTCCATATTTCTGAGCTCAGCACCCAACTGGTGTGATTCTCTTTTTCTTCTTCAAAACTGTCTACACTGGGGATGATGACATATTATTTGAGGCTGTACCCAAGTGATGTGTCTCTTCTGTCTAGTTTCTGCCCACATGTTAGTTTGTGACATATAACTAGGGAAGCACCTAGGTGATATGACTCTCCATTTCTGCCTGGGCCCTGCCTATTGGGGGCACTGGGAAATATCTCTGAGCCCATAACCTAATAAACTAACTGCTTCTTCTCTCTGGCTTTTACATCAGTGGATTGTGCCATATAGCTGAGCCCATCACTCAGGTTATTTTATCCTTTTTTTTTTCTTGAACCATGAACACACAAAAATTTTTGACTTATTGCGTGGCCCCAGCACATAGATGATATTACTCTTTTGCTTGGGTCCTGCATATAGAGAGAACTATGGCATATTGCTGGGCCCAGCACCCTAAAAATTTGTAATATGACTCTCATGCTTGTCCCAGAGCCACAGAAGATATTTTGACCCCCTGGGCCCATTATGTAGGTCTTTTGTCTTTCATAACTTGGCTTTTTTTTGCGGCAGTGGGGCGTGGAGATAAAGGAGTCTTGCTCTGTCACCCAGGCTGGAATGCTGGAGTGCAATGGCATGACCTCGGCTCAGTGCAACCTCCTCCTCCTGGGTTCAAGCTATTATTCTGTCTCAGCCCCCTGAGTAGCTGGGATTACAGGCACGTGCCACCATGCTCAGCTAATTTTTGTATTTTTAGTAGAGACAGGGTTTCAGTAAGTTGGTCAGGCTGGTCTAGAACCCTTCCTTGTGATTTTCCAGGCTTGGCCTCCCAAAGTGCTGATATTTCAGGCATGAGTCATTGTGCCTGGTCTGGATTTTATTCCACCTTTGAGACTGGGGCATATTGCTGAGTCCAGCACCTAGTTAATGTGACTCTAATTCCTATACACTGCCTACAAAGGGCATTGGGACATGTTGCTTGGCACAGCACCTAAGTAATGTTACCTTCCTGCCTAGTTTTTTGCCCACAAATGGTACTATGACATATAATGGTCAAACTTATACTTGGATTCAACCAATAGGAGATATTCTGCCTTTCATCTCTAGTCATAGGGCAATAAGTAAGATCCTTGGTTGCAAATATCTAGAAAGCTCACAGAACTTTACAACTCCAACTCATAATGTATATGTTTCTTGACTGGAACAGAGAGTTTCATGACAGGGACCAGCAAAAAGTTCAGATTGGGACTCCTGATTACATTCCCAGGTGAAAGCAAATGTTGTCACCATCCCACATGTCCAAAGCCCACTGTTAACATCCTGAGTCTAACAAGTGAATACAGTACAAAGTTGGAATTTTGACCTTCATATGTGGATCTGGCCACAGGGGGGATGGTGACTCATTTCTGTGTCCAGCTCATAGGCATAATAATGCATCTCATACCTAAAACCAGCCTATGGGAAAGATGTTTACTATCATACCTGCGTTTAGGGCAATATGTGAGATCATGAATCCCTATAAGCATGTAGGCTTCAGAGTGGTTTGCAACCCTGATGCATGTGGTATAAATGCTTCAAAATGCTGTATAAAGCCTTCAAATGTAGCCCAAAAAACATGTAAGATTGTGACTCTCATAGACACAGCTAGCTCAATTTAACGGTGTCACTCTCAAATCCAAAAAGATTTGGAACATTACTAGGCCTAATACCCATGTATTGGGACTTTTTGGTTTATTTTTTTTCCCATTGGTTCATTTTGGCATATCGCAGGGTTAGAATCATAATCATGTTACTTCTGCCTGTACCCTGGAAACAGGGGATATTATTGCTTATCTCTGGGCTTATGAGATAGGTGATTTTTCTCTCCTGTCTGTACCTATTCCCAGAGCACATAGTGAAATATCTTTTGACCAAACATCTAGGTCATGTGACTCTCCTCTCCTGCCTGGGTACTGCTCACCACAGATGTGGTGACATACCACTGTGTGATATGACTATGTGATGTGACTCTCCTTCCTATTCTAGACGCTGCCAAGAGAGGGAATTACTACACATTGCAGACCCCAACATCTAGGTGATTTGACTCTTCTGACTAGGCCCAGCCTACAAATGAAATTATATTGTGTCACTGGCTCAGCACCCAGGTTATGTGGCTCTCCCGCTTTGTCCCAGCTCACAGGTAAAATTGTGACATATACCTGTGTTAAGCATACATGGGTAATAATAACTTCCATTCCTGGACCCAGCCAGTAGAGATATTGTGACTCTCATATCCATCTCACTGTCATGGGTAAGGTACTGGGTTTTTCACTTCCATAAAGTTCATGAATGATTATAATGCTCTGGTATATCACATAAAGCCTTATTGGTACAAAGAGTGTCATAACAGAGAAGAGCAACCAGGTGAGAATGTGACTCTTGTATGCACACCTAGCTGACACAATTGTCATTCCTACACATAAACAGGTCTAGGAATGTGGTACTAAATCTCACACATAAAAAGTGTTGAAGGTTGAAATAATTACTATCATACGTGGATGTGATTAACAGGTGGTTTTTAAACATTTGAAACATGATTCAGCACACTTGTGGTGCTATGACTCTCCTACTGGAACACAATATTCAAGTAGGATTGAGGCAGGATTGAGGCTTACACATGGATCTTGCCCATTGTTGGGATTGTGACTCCTCTACTTTGACCTAATTCATAGAAAAAATTAACTCAAATATACAAAACCAGGATTCATGTGGAATAAAAAACTTATTTCTGAGCACTTCTGAGAGGGTGATTGGGACAGGTAAAATTGCCCAGCATGTGAATAATTTGACTGTCTCTTCTAGGCCCAGGCCACAGATGAAATTGTGTCATACATGGACAAATACCTAAGCCATGTATAATACTTTCTTTGGCTATGCCTACAAAATGGCACTTTTGTATATCCCTGGGACCATCACCCAGGTGAGGTGAATTATCTCCCTGAAATCTGCCTACAAAGAGAATAGTGTCTTTTACCTAGGCCCATCACATAAGTAATGTGACTCCCTATATTTCCTTGGCCTTTCACTTACAGTGCATTGTGACACATAACTGGGCACTGCAGCAAGGTGACGTGATTCTTCTTCTTCGGTTCAGCCAACAGAAAGCATTGTAGCATATCTCTTGGCTCAACACCTAGGTTATGTTTTTCTGCTTTGGCCTGTGGCTTGATTACAAGGAGATTGTGAAATTCTTGGGTCCAGCACCAATGTCACTCTCCAGCTTTGGTACTGCACAGAACAAACACTGTGAGATGTATCTAGACCAGCTGCCTAGGTTAAGTGAGTCTCCTCTCTTTCCAAAGTCCTGCCCACAGAGGGGTTTTTGATATGTCACTGAAACCCGCATCCAGGTGATGTGAATTTTCTATAAGGGGCTTCCCACAAGGGGGATTGTGACATCTCACAGGACTCACACCCAAATAGGTGATGTGACATTCTTGCCTTCTCTGTGTCCACAGGTGATATTGTGCTATATACCTAAGACCATAACAAAAGCCTAATAACAAGTCATATACCTGGGCCCAGAACATGTGCAAGATGATGACTCTTATTTTTAAACCTTTCCACAAGTATAATTGTGACATATACCTTTGCCCAGCTCCAGAATGATTTAATAATTTTGCTAGGTATAGCCCACAAATGAGATTTTGACAAATACCTGGGCAAAGTACCTTGGTGATTTGACTGTGCTATTTTAACAGTGTCTTCAGGGGGGATTGTAATACATTTCTGGACCCATCATCTAGGTTATGTGACTCTCCTCTACCCTCTACTGCCTGTATTCTACTTCCTTTGGTAATTGTAGCATTACTAAACACTGCATCTAAATGATACATCTCCTGCCTGGGCCCTGTTAACAGGAGGCATTGTGAAATATTTTTGGGCCCACCATTAAGTGAAATGACCCTACTCTCCTGCTCTGACACTTCCCACAAAGGACACTGTGCCAAGAGCTGGACCTTGCACACAAGTGTTTTGACATTTATGACAAGACCTTGCCTACAAAGAGAATATTGGAATAATTCTGGCCCAGCATTTAGGTAATATGGCTGTTCTTCCTGCTTCATAGCCATACAAAGAATTGTAATATATACCTAGGCATGGTTCACAGGAATGATAATGACTGTCATATGGGGATTGAGATAATAGAGGTTATTTTAACTCTTATAACCAAGTTTAGGTACATGCATGATGTCCTGAATAACGTTCTTATACAAATGTCACAAAAGATTACAACATTTACACATATTTTACAAAGTCTTTGGGTTATAGAGACAGAGTCACAGCAGGGCTCAGAAC
The DNA here is from genome assembly GCF_000001405.40 of Homo sapiens. Taxonomy (NCBI): domain Eukaryota; kingdom Metazoa; phylum Chordata; class Mammalia; order Primates; family Hominidae; genus Homo; species Homo sapiens. The sequence goes on from NC_000024.10 coordinate 8,343,531, forward strand.
ACAGGTTAAATTGTGTCTTGTATGCACACCCTGCTGACAGTAAAGACTGTCATTATCTCACATGGATAAAGACAAATATCACACATGAAAACAGGATATGTGTGGTATTGTAAATCTCATCTTTGCAATTATCTAACACTGTGATTGTGATATAAATCTGTGCCAAGCACTTGTGTAATTTGACTCTCCTGACTTGTTGCAGCCCACATATGGGATTGTGATATCTGGCTAGGCCAAACTGAAGGTGACATGATTCTCCTACCTGGGCCCTTCTCTGAGTAAGGATTGTAACATACTGAATCTAGCACCCAGGTGATGTTATATTCTTGCCTGCACCATGCCCACCAAAATTATTGTGTCATATTTTTGTGTCCTCCTCATAGATGATGTAACTCTGCTCTCTGGAATGGGCCATGCACAGATGAAAGATAGTGACATATTGCAAGGCCAGACACAGAGTTGAGGGTATTACTTTGCCAGAGCAATATTCAAAGGAGGGCATTGTGAATTATATCTGGGCCTATCACCTGAGTTATATGGCTCTCCTGCTCGGACCTTGCCAACCTGGAGTAACATATTTCTAGGCTAGGCACACAGGTGATGATACTCTTTTGTCAGGGCTATGCTTTATAGAGGACGTTGTGACGAATCTCAGGGTCTATCACCTAGGTGAAGGGACTCTCTCCTTGGGCCCTACTGAAATAAAGCACTGTGGAATAAGCAGAAAACCTACAACTACATGATGTAACCCTCTTTGCTTGTTGCTGTCCTAAGACAGCCTTGTGACATATTTCAGGACCCAGCATCCGAGTGATGTGGCTCCTCTACTTGGTTTCTGCCCATGTGTTACATTGTGACATATTTCCAGGGAAGCACCTGGTGATATGACTCTGCTCATATGCCTGAGCCTTGCCTACTGGAGACATTGGGACATATCTCTGAGCCCATCGCCTAAGTGATGTGATGTTCTTCATCCGCCTGGGACTTCACAATAGGAGGATTTTGACATATTGCTGAGCCCAGCACTCAGGATAGGTGACTCACCTCTTTTTCCCGATCCATACCCACAAAATAATGTATTTTGATTTATTGCATGGCCCAGCATTCAGATGATGTTACTCTTCTGCCTGGGTTCTGCATAAAGGGAAATTTATGACATATTGTATATTGCTGGACTCAACACCCTTATCATGTGTCTCTCCTGCCTGTTCTGGAGCCACCGAAGGTTTTTTGACACATCTTGGACCTATTATATAGGTGTTTTGCCTCTCATAACTTGGCTGGGTTTTTCCACATGTGGAATGGTGTCATGTTCCTGGGTCTGGCACCCAGTTATTGTGACCCAAATTCCTATACACTGTCAAAAGAAGGAATTGTGACAGAGCACCACATGTGACAAATGTGGCATAGCATCACAAGGCATTGTGATACAGCATCTAAGTGATGTTAACCTTCTGCCCCATTTTATGCCCACAAATGGGATTATGACATGTACCTTGCTTCAGTTCAAAGACATGGTGATCAAATGTATATTTGGATTCAGCCAATAGGAGATATTTTACCTCACATTGCTAAGCTTAGGGCAATAGGTAAACTCCTGGATTGTATATTGATTCCAAGTTGACAGAAGTTTACAACACCAACTTATATTATATAAACTCTTTGATGGTAGAGAGTTTCATAACAGGACCTAATGAAAAGTTGAGATTGGGACTCTCGATTATGCACCCAGGCAAAATCAAAAGTTTTCACCTTCCCAAAAACTGGATAGCCATATTACAAAAGCTGAAACTTGATCCCTTCTTTACACCTTTTACAAAAATCAATTCAAGATGGATTGAAGATTTAAATCTTAGGCCTAAAAGCATAAAAACCCTAGAAGAAAACCTAGGCAATATCATTCAGGACATAAGCATGAGCAAGGACTTCATGACTAAAACAGCAAAAGCAATGGCAACAAAAGCTAAAATAGACAAATGGGATCTAACGAAACTAAAGAGGTTCTACACAGCAAAATAAACTACCATCAGAGTGAACTGGCAAGCTACAGAACGGAAGAAAATTTTTCCAATCTACCCATCTGACAAAGGGCTAATATCCGGAATCTACAAAGAACTTAAAGAAATTTACAAGAAAAAATTTAACAACCCCATCCAAAAGTGGGCAAAGGATATAAACAGACATTTTGCAAAAGAAGACATACAAGCAGCCAATGGACACATGAAACAATGCTCATCATCTCTGGTCATCAGAGAAATGCAAATCAAAACCACAATGAGATACCATCTCACACCAGTTAGAATGATGATCATTAAAAAGTCAGGAAACAACAGGTGCTGTAGAGGATGTGGACAAATAGTAACGCTTTTACACTGATGGTCGGAGTGTAAACTAGTTCAAACATTGTTGAAGACAGTGTGGAAATTCCTCTAGGATCTAGAACTAGAAATACCATTTGACCTAGCCATCCCATTACTGAGTATATGCCCAAAGGATTGCAAATCATGCTACTATAAAGACACTTGCATACGTATGTTTATCGCAGCAGTATTCACAATAGCAAAGACTTGGAACCAACCCAAATGTCCATCAATGATAGACTGGATTAAGAAAATGAGGCACATATACACCATTGAGTACTATGCAGCCATAAAAAGGATGAGTTCATGTCCTCTGTAGCGACATGAATGAAGCTAGAAACCATCATTCTGAGCAAACTATTGCAAGGACAGAAAACCAAACACCGTATGTTCTCACTTGTAGGTGGAAATTGAACAATCAGAATGCTTGGACACAGGGCGGGGAACATCACCACTGGGGTCTGTCCTTGGGTGGGGGAATGTGGGAGGGATAGCATTAGGAGAAATACCTAATGTAAATAATGAGTTAATGGGTGCAGCAAACCAACACGGCACTTGTATACATATGTAACAAACCTGCACATTGTGCACATGTACCCTAGAACTTAAAGTATAATAATAATAATAAAAAGTTTTCACAAATCCCACATTTACAATGCCCACTTTTGAAGTCCTGAATGTAACAAGGAAATAAAGCACAGAGTTGGAATTGTGACTTTTATGTGTTGATCTGCCCACAAGTGGAATAATTAGTCATTTCTGGATCCAGTCCACAGACATAATAATAGGTCTTCTGCATTAACTCTGCCTATAGGGGAGATATTGACTATCAAACATGGGTTTTGGACAATATGTAAGATTGTGAGTGCAATATGTAAGATTGTGTGTGCACATATGCCTCAGAGAGGTTGACAATCTTCATGGAGGTGTTTTTTTTTTTTTTTTTTTTTCTGTTGGGATGGAGTCTCACTATGTCACCCAGGCTGCAGTGCAGTGGGGCAGTCTCAGCTCACTGCAACCTCTGCACTATGACTTCAAGCAATTCTCCTGCCTCAGTCTCCCAAGTAGCTGGGATTACAGGCCCCTGCCACCATGCCTGGCTAATTTTTTGTATTTTTAGTAGAGATGGAGTTTCACCATCTTGTCCAGGTGGGTCTTGAACTCCTGACCTTATGATCTATCCGTCTCACCCTTCCAAAGCGCTGTGAATACAGGCATGAGCCACTGCAACCTACCACTTCATGTAGGTTTTATAAAGCCCATGGATATTGTAGAGAGTGTCATATACTGACCCAGCTCACATGTGAGACTGTGAATCTAATATACACACAGCTAAAAATTAGAAGTATCGACCTGAAAAATGTTGAGATTGTGTCATGTCACTGGGCCTACTATCCAGATGTTGTGAGATTGTGGCTCTATTTTCTTTCCATGGGTGCATTGTTATGTATTGCTGGGTCAGAATAAAAATAATGTGACTTTTCTGCCTGGGCCATGTCAACAGGAGATATTATCACGTATCTCTGGGCCTATCCGCTAGGTGATATGTCTCCCCAGCCTGTGCCCTGCCCCCAAGTACATTTTGAAATATGGCTGAAACTAGCATCTAGGTAATGAAATTCTCCTCCCCTGCCTGGATACTGCTTACCAAAGGAATTGTGACATACAGCTGAATGCAAAACCTAGGTGGTATGTCTCTTTTCTCCATTCAAGGGTTTATTTCTGTGCTGCATTCTGTTTCATTACTTTAGTGTTCTAGTTTTATATCAGTACCAAAGTGCTTTGGTTACTGTAGGTTTTTGTGTGTGTATGAAAATTGTTAAGTGTGAGGCTTCCAATATTTTTCTTATTTTTCAAGATTGTCAGACTATTCATGGTCCCTTGAGATCTTACAGGTTTTTTTTTCTATTTTTGAAAAATATGATTAAAAATAACAAGGGGTATGTTGAGCATTGGGTCACTTTAAGCAGCATGGACATCTTCGCAATATTATGTCTTCCAACCCCTGAAAAAAAAAGCCTGCTCAAAAGTGTGTTGTTGGCTGAGCATGGTGTCTCGTGCCTGTAATCCCAGCACTTTGGGAGTCCGAGGAGGGTGCATGGAGAAATCAGGAGATCGAGACAATTCTGGGCAAAATGTTAAAACCTCATCTCTACTAAAATACAAAAAATTAGCTGGGCGTGGTGGTGTCTGCCTGTACTTACAGCTACGTGGAAGGCTGAAGCAGAAGAATCCTTTGTCCCCGGAAACTGGAGGTTGGTGACAGAGCGATACTCCATCAAAAAAGAAATTTTAAAAAATCTGTGTTTTTAAATATTATATTGTTTGAATTCTTCAGCTTTTCTTCTTTTGCTGATTTCTAGTTTCATTCCATTCGGGATGTAAATAATTGTAAAATTTCAATAAAAAAATTGTTACTGCTTCTTTTGTAGTGTCACAAGTGGTTCGTGTAGGAAATTTTTTTTTCTTTTTTTCTTTTTTTTTTTTTTTTGAGACGGAGTCTCGCTCTGTTGCCCAGGCTGGAGTGCAGTGGCGCGATCTCGGCTCACTGCAAGCTCTGCCTCCCAGGTTCACGCCATTCTCCTGCCTCAGGCTCCGGAGTAGCTGGGACTACAGGCGCCCTCCACCACACCGGACTAATTTTTTTTTGTATTTTTAGTACAGACGGGGTTTCACCGTGTTAGCCAGGGTGGTCTCGAAATCCTGACCTCGTGATTAGCCCGCCTCGGCCTCCCAAAGTGCTGGGATTACAGGCGTGAGCCACCGCACCCGGCCAGAAAATGTTTTATGAGCTTTTGAAATGAATGTATATGCTGTTGTCTGTATACAGTTGTTAAATGTAATTATTGTATAGTGCATTCAATTATTTTGTTTCCTTATTGATATTCTGTCTTGTTTATTTTTTTGAAAGTGTGATGTTGATGTATGCATCCATTATTATATTGCTGTCTATTTTTGCATCAATTCTGTCAATGTTTGCTTCATGTGTTTGGGAAAACTGTCATATATTTATAGGTTCTCCGTGAATGAACCCTCTTCTATAATTGAATGTCCTACTTTGTCTCTTGCAAAATTTCACTAAAACTAAATTTTATTAAATATGACAGTTGCCAACTTAATAATTGTTGTCTCTTCTCCTCTCATTTGGTTAACACTTGCATGGAATGTATTTTTCACCCTGGCATTTCCAGTTTATTTTTTTATTTGCTTTGAAGTGAGTCTCTTGAAGCCATGACATAGTTAGATCTTGATACAGAACATGATGTAGTTAGACTAATTTTTTTATTTTGAGTGATACTTTTGCTGGATATAGTATTCTTGCTTAGACTTTTTTCCTATGTTTTGACTATGTCATTCTCCTCTCTTCTCGCCTGAAAGATTTATGTTCATAAATTTACTGGTAATCTTACAGAAGCCTGCATATAAATAACATATCTATTTTTGCTCCTGGCATTACAGCTTCTCTTCGTGTTTGTGACATTCAAAACATTCCTTATGTTTTGTCTTGTTAGAAATCTCTTTTTGTTAAACTCAGTTAAAATTTTCTGAGATTCTTGATTTTCTTATTTTTTTTACTAATGTTGAAGTGCATATTAGTTTTTTTGGTTCTCATACTCCAAAATTTGTATTTCTTTTTGTGCATTTTTTTGTTGGTTTCATTTTTGTTCTTTCATTTTGCCTGCTTTATTTCCATTTGCTCACTGAGCATCATTAAGATGGTAATTTTGATAGTTTAGGATAATTTATTCTTTTCTTTTAACAATAGATCTAGAATTTAAATCTGATTGTTTCAGGTAATTCTTCCATCTTCATTTTTTAATAACTGAATCCTGAATATTTATTTTTGTTTTTGATTGAGTCATATTATCTTGATGTTTGCTGTATGTTCTAATCTTAGGTTGCAATTTATTTAATAAAAAGGCATATGTCAAAATCTTGAAAAATAAGTTACACATTTTTTTAGGCTAGAGATTCTTGGAGTCTCTCAAGCCTGTTCTATGAATATTTTCCCTTAACTTGTGTGATTTTTTGTTTAAAAAGTTCCCCCATGTTTTTTTCTTGCTCTTTTTCTTTTCTCTCTTTTTCTTTCTTTCTTTCTTTCTTTCTTTCTTTCTTTCTTTCTTTCTTTCTTTCTTTCTTTCTCTCTCTCCTCCTCTTTCTTTCCTTCTTTCTTTCTTTTCCTCTTTCCTTCTTTCTTTCTTTCTTTCTTTCTTTCTTTCTTTCTTTCTTTCTTTCTTTCTTTCTTTCTCTCTTTGTTTCTGTCTTACTCTTGTTGTCCAACCTAGAGTGCAATGGTGCAATCTTAGCTTACAGCAAACTCCACTTCCAGGCTTTAAGCAATTATCCGGCCTCAGCCTCCTGAGTAGCTGGGATTACAGGTGACTGCCATCACACCCAGCCAATTTGTGTATTTTTATTAGAGATGGGATTTCACCATGTTGACCTGGCTGGTCTTGAATTTCTGACCTCATGTGATTCACTGGCTTCAGCCTCCCAAAGTGCTGGGATTACAGGCATGAGCCACGACTTTTTCCATGTTTCTAATTAAGGTCCTGTAGTCAGTTGCTATTTCCATTGTCTGTCAATGATACTGATGTCTCTCTTCTCTTGTAACAGTCATTTACATTTGATTTCAGTTGTCCAAAAGTGTCAAAGTGCACCACCTTTCTTTTCAACACTCTCATGGAATATAGAAATTAGTCTTTTGTAAGGTCACAAAAATCCAGAAGCATGGACATAGGTGTCACTATTTTACTTATTTTTGGAGGAGTAAGGAAGGAGTTGGGAGTCTATATTTATAGTCATAATAAAATGAAGAATGGCAAATGCTTAACTGATTATTAGACTTCTCACAAAGACATTTTTGTCCATATATTTCTGTTGAGTTTATATGTTTATAAAGGAATTAGTACCTGTGGTATTTTATTGTCACCTTGTTAATGTGTTTTGTATAATTATGCATTTGTAAAGTGTATTCACCTGCACTTAATGAGGGAGGAATTCTGTTGTTCTTTTTTTTTCTTTTCAGCTGGCTCTTTTCATTTTTCTGCAGGGATATTGCTGGAGCATGACATAAAAGATACATTTAAAAAAGTAAATCTGAGAAAATATGGAAGCTTTGACCTCAATAGTTTATATTAAACAAAGACTACTAAAGTGTGGATAATTGCAAAGGGCAGAAAAGCAGTTATAATGGCCTTCATCAATGTTTGTCAACAACCCATGGCAAAACCTGTTGATGTAATAAATGTGGCAAAGCTTTTGAGTTGTGCTCAATCTTTACTGAATGTAAGAAAATGTTTAGCAGAGAAAAATGATAAAAATGTGAAGAATGTGGCAAAGACTTTAGGTTGTTCTCGGATATTACTATACAGAAGTAAATTCATACTGCAGAGAGATGGTACAGATGTGAAGAATATGGTAAAGTCTTTGAAAAGATCTCAAATATTGCTGAACATAAGATAGCTCATACTGGAGAGATACCTGACAAATGTGAAGAATGTGGCAAAACCTGTAACTGCTCCTCAACCCTTACTAAAAAGAGAGAAATCAGACTGGAGACAAACCTTAGGCATGTGAATAATGTGGCAAAGCCTTTAAGTGCTTCTCAGACCTTACTAATCATAAGAGAGTTCATACTGTGGGGAAATGTTACAAATGTGAAGAATGTAACAAAGTCTATAGGTGGTTCTCAGAACTTGCTAAGCCTAAGATAATTCATACTGGAGAGAAACCCTACAAATATGAAGAATGTAACAAAGACTATGGTAGTTCTCAGACATTACTAAAGATAAGATAATTCATAGTGAGAGAAACCCTACAAATATATTGAATATAAAAAAGCTTTTATGTGGCTCTCAGCCATTAGTAAACACAAGAGAATTAATACCGGAAAGAAACTGTATATTGTGAAGAATGTGGGACAGCTTTTACCTGCTTCTCAACCCTTATTAACCACAAGAGAATTTATAAGAAAAAGAGACCTTATGAATGTGAAGAATGTGACAAAACCTTTAAGTGTTTCTCAGATGTTACTAATCATTAGATAATTCACACTGGAGAGAAACCCTAAAAATGTGAAGAATGTGGCAGAGCATTGAGCTTGTTCTCACACCTCTTTAGAAAAAAGAATTCATACTATAGAGAAGTTTGCAAATGTTATAAGTGTGGAAAAGTCTTTAACAAGTTCTCATATGGTGTTCAACATCAGAGGATGAATACTGAACAAATGCATCATAAAGGTAATGACTGTTAATTCCATGGCATAAGGCCCAAACCAGAGAACGGGCCAGCAGTTTTGCTGCACCTAAGCAGCTTCTGCACTTTTCCAAGCACGTCTCATTCTGTTCATGCTTCCAATTATTTCACCAGCAGCTTCTCATTTGTCCCAGTTATTTTTGACCCCCCACAAACTATGATTTTGAAACTCCTCTGAAGACTGCATGAGCCAAGCACTAAGGTTCACAGTGCTCTAGCCTACTCAGTTTCACCTGAGGACAGAAACAAGGCAGGAGAGTCTTGTCACCTGGATTCTGTTCTCAGGATATGTTATAATCTTCTTTGGAGGCAGCGCAGAGTCAGAAGAGTAACATCATTTGTGTACAGCCTCAAGTAATATGACACTATGTCCACTATAGACAGATTTGAAGAAAAACAGGAGAGTCACACCACCTAGGTGATAGGCCTAGCAATATGAAATTATCCTCTTTCTTGGCTGACTCCAGAATAAAGAAGAGAGTTGCATTACCTAGGTTTTGCACTCAGTGGTATGTCACAATTCCTTTATCTGGCAGGACCTAGGCCAGAGAGGAGTCACATTTCCTAGATGCTACTTCCAGAGATGTCACACAGGCAAAATAGACAAATCTCCTAGCTAATAGGCTCAGAGATATGTGATAATATCTCTTGTTGGCAGGACCTGGGCAGAAGAGTCACATTATTATAATTCTGACCCAACAATATGTAGCAATGCACACATGGAAAACAATTTAAGCAAAAGTTTTTATACCTTGGTAGTCTGCCCAGTGATGTGACATAATCTCTTCATCTTTGAGGGTCACAATTTTTACTGTGAGCTTGTTACTTGTATCAGTTAATATTTCACGTGTGTGCTGGACCATTGCATGAAACCCTCTACAGCATCAGAGGGCTTTATACATCATGCAAGAGAGTTGCAAACTACTCTGTGACTCACATGCTCATATGTACTCATAATGTTATATATTGCCTTAAATCGAGATACGATAGAGGTATGATAGTGTATTTCTCTCATTTAGGCTGAGTTCAGGAATGAGACTTTTTTTTTTTTTTTTGAGACAGAGTCTCACTCTGTCACTCAGGCTGGAGTACATTGGCACAGGGCACAATCTCGGCTCGCTACAACCTCCACTTCCCAGGTTGAAGTGATTCCCCTGCCTCAGCCTCGCAAGATATGGAATTACAGGTGCCTGCCAGCATTCTCTGCTAATTTTTTTGTATTTTTAGTAGAGACAGAGTTTCACTGTATTAGCCAGAATAGTCTCAGTTTTGGCCTCATGATCTGCCTTCCTCAACCTCCCAAGCCTGGGATTACATGAGTGAGCCACCCTATGCCTGTGAACTCAAGATACATGATAATTTTCAAAACTGAATCACGATTGAACCTGTGGCCAGATCCGCATACAAAAGTCAAAATTCATTCTTTGTACGCTTTCCCTTGTTAAACCCAGTACTTCAACAGTGAGCTTTGTAAATTTGCAGTGGTGAAAACTTTTACTTTCAACTGGGTGCGTAATTGAGAGTGACAATTTTAACGTTTTGCAGCGCCTTGTTATGGAACTCTCTGTATCACCCAAGGAGTTTGTAGAAGAGGAATTAGTGTTGTAAATTTCTGTGAGTCTTCTACAAAAATGCAACCCAGGATTTTACCTATTGCATTAGTTTAGCGATGGGAGGCAAAATATCTTCTACTGGCTGAATCTCAGTATATGTTTGACCATTATGCATGTGAACTGAAGCAAGGTATATGTTATAATCCCATTTGCGGGCAAAAGCTTAGAACAAAGAATGAAATATCTTAGGTGATGTGGCAAGCAACATGTCACAGTGCTTTCTCTAGGCAAAACCTAGAAAGGAGGGTCACATTATCTGTTTGCTGTACTGATTGATATGACACAATTCCACATGTGGAAAGACGTAGCCAAGGGTTGAGAGCCAAACACCTACAGAATGGACTGAAGATATGTCAAAATACTTTCTGTGGCTCAGGCACAGGCAGGACAGTAGCATCATCAGGGTGCTAGGCCCACCAGTATGAAAAATTCCCTCTTTATTCAGGTCTCTGGCAGAAGACTAACATCATCTGGGTGCAATAGGTCAAAATTTTCCTTTGTGGCATAATTCATAAAAAATGAATAGAGTCACATGACCTAAGCTGGGCTCAGCAATATGTCAAAATCCCACCTTTTTAAAGGCATAGGCCATGGACTCATAGAAATGTCTTAATGTCTCCAGTAGGCAGGGCTCTGGCAGATGAGGAGAGTCATATCACCTAGGTGTTTCCCAAAGATTCAGTCACAATGTAACATGTGGGCAGAAATCAGGCAAAAGATCCACATCACTTGGGTGCTGGGTCCAGAGATATGTCACAAGGCTCTCTTAGGACAGCATGCAGGCAATACAGTTACATCACATAGGGCCAGGTTCTCTGCTTATGCCACAGTGTTCCATAAGGGTAAGGCCCAAGGAGGGAGCCACTTCACCCAGGTGATAGGCCCAGAGATTTATCACATTGTCCACTAAGAAGCATAGCCCTGGCAAGAGGACCTTCGCCTGTGTTCTTGTCCTAAAACTGTGTCACTGTCCATGTTCGCAGGGCAAAAACAGAGAGCCACATAACCTGGGTAATAGGCCAAGAGATATATCACAATGCCCTCCACTGGTCATGGCTCTGGGGAAAAATATCTTCACCTCTGTGCCTGGCCTTACATTATGTCACTATCCTTCCTTTGTGCAGGGTCCATTCCAGAGAAGAGGGTTGCATCTCCTATGAGGTAGACATAAAAATATGTCACAAAAATTTTGTTGGGCATGGTGCAGGCAAGAATGTAAGATCACCTGGGTGCTAGATCCAGTGATATACCACAATTCTTACTGAGAGAAGGTCCCAGGCAGGAGAGTCACATCACCTTGAGATTGGCCTAGGTAGATATCACAATCCCATATATGGGCTGGAATAAGTCTGAAGAGTGAAATTGCAAAGCTGCTTCCAATGATTTATATCACAATCACATGGTCAGAAAATTTCACACATGAAATTTGCAATACCACAGGTATCTTGTTTTCATGTGTGACACTTGGCCTCATCCATGTGAGATCATGACAGTCTTGACTGCCAGCTGGGTTTGCATAGAAGAGTCACAATTTCATCTGTGTGCTGAGCCCTGCTTTGACTCTGTCTTTATAGCCTAAAGACTTTGTAAAATATGTGTGGGTGTTGTAATCTTTTGTGACCTTTGAGCCAGGAGGTGATCCATGACATCAAACATTTTCATAAACCTAGTTATAATAATCAAAATATTCTCTATTGGCTGAATTCGCATATGAGACTCACTATCATTCTTGTGAGCCACACCTAGATATATGCCACAATATTTTCTGTTGTTATGAAGCAGGCAGAACAGCCACATTACCTCAGTTCCGCGACAGAAGTATTTCTATATTCTCTTTGTAGGCAGGGTACTGTCAAAAATGTCACATAACTTGAGTGCTAGTTCCAGCTCTGTGGAACTATGTCCCTTGTGGGCAGTGTCCAGGCAGAGGAGGAGAGTCATATCACCTAAATGATGGACCCAGATATATTTCACAATGCTCCTGTTGATAAGGCCCAGGCAAGAAAGTCATATCATTTGGAATCAGTTTTTAGAAATGCTACAATTACCAAAAGAAGCAGGTTACAAACAGGTTAGGGGTGTCATGTAACCTAGATGATTGGTCCAGATGTATGTTACAATCCTTCCTGAGGATATTGTCACATCATCTGGATGCTGGTTTCAGTTACATCAAATCTCCCTGTGTAAGCAGGACTTCAGCAAGAGAGGAGGTTCATTTCACCTAGGCAATTGGCCTAGATATATGTCACAATGACCCTTTTGTGCAGTAGGAAGGCTGGAGACTGACCTCACATTGTTGTTAAGCCCAGCAACATATCACAATCTCCCTGTGGTCGGGGCACAGGCAAAAGCAAAATAAATAAATAAATAAATAAATAAATAAATAAATAAATAAATAACCTAGGTGCTAATCCAAGTGATATGTTACAATGTTTCCTGTTGACACAACCCAACCTGGGTGAAGTGAAGAGCTACATGTCAAAATGCGTTGTAAATGCAGGGCCAAAGAACTAGAAGGGAGTCACATCACTTATGTGAAGGACCTAAATATAAGACGCAATTCTTTTTGTAGGCAGGTTTCAGGATGATAATTCACATCACCTGGCTGATGGTCCCAGTGATCCCCAATCCCACTTAAATATTTTGTTACAATAGGGGAGTCACAGCACCACAGGTGTGCTGAATTCTGGTTCAAGTGTTACCAAACCACCTGTGCATGTGATCCATGTATGAGAGTAATTATTTCAACCTTCGACTGCTTTATATGTGTGAGATTTAGTACCTTATTCCCAGGCCATGTTCATGTGTGAGAATGACAAATGTGTCAGCTAGGCGTTCATAAAAGAGTTCCATTCTCACCTTATTGCTGGTGTCTGTTATGACACTCTTTGTATCATGAATGCTTTTTATAATACAACTGAGTATTATAATCATTTGTGAACTTTATATAAGTGAAAAACACAGGACTTTACTCATGGCGATGAGAGTGACTATGACAGTAAAAATACATCTGCTGGCTGGGTTCAGGTATGAGAGTTATTATGGTGCATGTTTGCTTAAACCAGGTATATGTCACAGGTTCACCTGTGAGCAGGGCCAAGGCAGGAGAAGCACATCACTTGGGTGCTGAGCCAGTGATAGAGTATAATCTAATTTTGAGGCTGGACCTAGTCAGAAGAGTCACATTACCTGGGTGCAGCTTCAAATAGTATGTCACCAAGACCACTATAGAAAGGGAAGAAGAAAGAGAAAAGAGTCACTCAATCTATTTACTGGGCTCTGCAATATGTAATAAAGCCCACTTTTGGCAGAGTCTAGAATATGAAGGAGAGTCATATAACCTAGATTTTTCAATAATCAGTATGTCACCATTTCCTTAGTTAGCAGGACGCAGATAGGAGATGAGAGTCACATTACCTAGGTGTTGTCAAACAATATTTAACAATGTTGTCTGAGGGCAGGGAACTGGCATTGGATATAAATTACCTAGCTTACAGGGCCAGAGATAAGTGACAATATTCCCCATTGGCAGGGTCCAGGTGGAAGAGTCACATTATTATGACTCTAAGCCAGCGTTATGTCACAATGTACCCATGGGAGGGAATTTAAGCTAAAAATTCTCAACACCTGGGTATTAGGCTTAGGAGTATGACAAATCTTCTTATCTTTGGAGGCGACACTATTAACTGTGAACTTGGTGTGTATATGAAAGTCACAATTTCACATGTTTTCTGGGCCATTGTATGACACTCTACAACATTTGAAGGCTTTATACAGCATTCATGAGAGTTGCAAACCACTGAAACCTACAAGCTTGTATGCATTCACAATCTTAAATATTGCCTTAATCCTAGGCTTAATAGTCAACATCTCTTCTGTAAGCTGTATTTGGAATAATACTCATTATTATGCCTGTGAGCTGGATTCAGAAATGAGTCACAATCCCATCTGTGGCCAGATCCACATATGAATGTCACAATTACAGGTTTGTACTTTACTCATTTATTAGACTAGGACCTGAACAGTGTGGTTATGTTATGTGGGATGGGGAGAACATTTGCTTTCATCTGGGAGTGTAATTGAGAGTCCCAATCATAACTTTTTGCAGCTGCCCATCATGAAACCCTCTGTACAACACTAGGAGGTTATACATTATGAGTTAGTATTGTAAAGTTTTGTGAGCTTGGTACAAATATGCAACTCAGGACCTTATCTATTCAATTAAGCCTAGAGATGAAAGGCAGCATATCTTCTATTGTCTGAATTTCACTACAAGTTTGACAATCATACTTTAAACAGAAGTAAGGCATATGCCATATTCCCATTTGAGGGCAAAAAACTAAGTAGGAGGGCAACATCACTTAGCAGCTGTGTTAAACAACATGTGAAAATACCCACCCTGGGAAGAGCATAGGAATTAGAGTCACATTAAATGGGTGCTAGACTCAGCAATATGAACCATCCAACATGTGGAAAAACAAAAACAAAAACAACAAACAACAACAACAACAAAACAGCCAAGGGATGAGAGCCAAAACACCTACATAATTGGCCCACAATCTGTCAAAATACCTTCTGTTGCTTTGGCACAGGCATGAGAGTCACACTATCAGGATGCTGGGCACAGCAATATGTCATAATTCTTTCTGTATGCTGGACCAGGAAAAAGAGTATCATTAACTGGGTGCTGGCCTCTGCCATAGGTCAAAATTTCTGTTTGTGAGCAAGGTTTGAGGAAAAAAAACAAGAGTCATATAACCTGAGTGTTGGTATCAGTAATATGTCACAATTCCCCCAATGTAAAGACCAGGCAGAAGAAGAGAGCCATTTCATGTAGGTCGTGGGCTCAGAGCTATATCTCAGTGTCCCTCCTAGGCATGTACGAAGTAGAAAATGAGTCCCATATCACCTAGGTGCTTCCCTAGTTATATCACTTGGGTACAGCCTCAAGTAATGTGTCAGCATGCCAAATGTAGATGGGTTAAAGAAAAAAAGAGAATCACACAATCTGGTTTCTGGGCTCAGCAATATTTAATCATTCTCTCTCTTGGCAGAGTTCAAGACGAATAGGAGAGACAGGTCACCTAGGTTTTGCACTCAAATAATATGTTACAATGGACATACGTGAAAATTCCTGTTTCCAGAGCCCAGGCAGAAGACACACATTATCATGATTTTGACCCATAATGCTCTTATGGAGAGGAATTTAAACAAAAAAGACTCAACACCGGGATACTAGGCCAAGGGATATGACACAATCTCCTCATCTTTAAGGGTGACATCATTAACGTTAGATAGTTGTGTATATGAGCATCACAATCTCATGTGTGTGCTGACCATAGTATGACACTCCCTACAACATCTGAGAATTTTATACAAGAGGCATGAGAGTAGCAAAACTCTGAGGCCTATATGGTTATATGAACTCACCATCTTACATATTGCCCTAAACCCAGGTATGACAGTCAACATCTCTCCTATAGGCTGGCTTCAGGGATGAGACCATTATTATGCCTGTGAGCTGGGTCCAGAAATGGGTCACCATCACACCTGTGGCCAGATTCATTTCTGAAATTCACAATTCCAACTTTGTGCTTTATTCACTTGTTAGACTCATGACCTCATCAGTGGGCCTTGTAAATGTAGAATAGTAACAACTTTTACTTTCACCTTAGTTTGTAGTCTAGAGTCATAATCTTAACTTTTTGCTGGGTTCTGTTATAAAACACTCTGTTCCACCCAAGAAGTTTGTATGATGTGAGTTGGTGTTGTAAACTTCTGTGAGATTTGTACACATTTGCAGTGAAGAACCTTACCTATTGACATAATCCTAGGGGTGAGAGGCATCCTATCTCCTATTGGTTGAATCCCAATATAAGCTTGATCATTAGGTTTTGAACTGAAGCAAGGTATATGTCACAATCCCATTTCTGGGCAAAAAAGTAGGCCGAAGGTTAACATCACTTTAAGTGTTCTGCCAAGCCATATATCACAATGCCCTCTCTAGGCAGAGCCTAAAAATGAGGCTGACATTAACTGTCAGTTTAAGCCAGAAATTTTATACAACCACAAGTGGAAGAATCCTAGCAATATGATGAGAGCCAAAGTACTTACAGAATGGGACAAAGATATGTCAAAATATCTTCTATGGTTCTGGCAAAGAAAGGAGAGTCTCATGATTAGTGTGCTAGGCCCAGCAATATGCCATAATTTCCTCTTTATAAATGACCTAGGCAGAAGAGTAACATCATCTGGGTGCTGGGCCTTGAAATACAGTAAGTGTCCTGTTTGTGGGCATTGTTCAGCAAGAAGACATAAGTCATATTACCTAAGTGCTGGGCTCATCAACATGTCACAATATTCCCATTGTAAAGGCCCAGAAAGAAGTCATGTCACTTAGGTTATGGGCTCAGAGATATGGCCCAATGTAACCAGCAGGCATGGCTCAGGCAGAAAAAGACAGTCATATTCCCTAGGTGCTTCTTTAGGTATATGTTGCAATTTAATATGTTGGCACAACCCAGGTAGAAAAGCAAAATCACTTTGTCCTGGGTCATGAGATATTCTTAAGTCACCCTTAGAGAAGGACCTAGACAAGAGAGTAACATCACCTAGATGCAGGTTTCACCCTTATGCCACAATGATACATGTGGGCAGAACCAAGCAGGAAGTCACATCAACTAAGTGATAGGCCCAGAGATATGTTCCAAAGCCCTCCTTAAAGCATGGCCCTGACAAAAGAGTACCATCACTTTTGTGCCTTGCCTAGCAATATGTCACTATTCAAGTCAGCAGGTCCCAAGCAGAAGAGCCATATCACCTACATGATATGTTCTGTGATATGTAAAAATGCCCTTTTTTGAGCATGGCCCTTGCAAAAGAGTATCATCACCTGTGTGCCTGGCCTAGAAATATGTCTCTGTTCTTCCCTGTGCTGCAGGACCGCTTCCAGAGAGGAGAGTTATGTCTTCTAGATGATGGACACAGTCATATATCACAATGATGTCTGTGGGCATGGTGTAGGCAAGAATGTAACATCACCTAGGTGCTGGATCCAGTGATGTCACCATTCTTGCTAAGCATGATCCAGGCAGAAGAGTCACATCATTTCAAGGTTGACCCATGTAGATATCAAAATCCCATATATAGTCTAGATCCAGTCTGAAGAATGAAATCATGCAGGTGCTTGCCATAGATTTATATCACAAAGTTCTGGAATTATAGGCATTAGCCACTGTGCCCGGCCTTTGAGTACAACTTTGTGTGAGATTTAGTACTTTATTTGTACCTGTTCTTGTGAGAGAATAAAAATGAGGTCAGCTGGGTGTGCAACCAAGAGTCACAATTGCATCTGGTTGCTGCTGTTCCCTGTTATGACACTCTTTGTATTACTCAGGATTTATATGATATGCCTGAGTTTCATAATCCTCTGTGAAATTCATGCAATTATGAGACCAATTACTTTACTTATTGCTGTAAGACTGACTATGAGATCCAAAATATCTCTCCCTTCTGGATCCAGGTATGAGAGTTATATTAGTGCATGTGAGTTGAACCTAGGTATATGTCACAATTTCACCTGTGGGCAGAAACAAGGCAGGAGGGTCTCATCCCCTAGATTCTGAGCTCAGGATGCATTATAATCTTCTTTGCAGCCAGGGCAAGTCAGAAGTGTTATATCACCTGGGTAAAGCCCCAAATAATATGACACCATGTTCCCTGTAGACAGGGTGTGAAGAAAAAGAGGAGAGTCACACCACCTTGGTGCTGGGCTTGGCAATATGTAATAATCTCCTTTTTTTGCAGACTCCATAATAAAAGGAAGAGTTGCATTACCTAGGTTTTGCACTCAGCATCATGTTGCATTACTTAATGCAACATAATGCACTCAGCATTATGTCAGTACCATAATGCACTCAGCATTATGTCATGATTAGTTTAGTAGGCAGGACCCTGTGATCAGGGCCTAGAAAAGACAATCAAATAATTCATGGGCTGGGCAAAGGCTGTTGTCTTAATTACACTCTCAGTAATATTTGGAAATAAGTCTCACATCCCACACAAGTCCTGGTTTTGTACATGTGAGTCAAATCTTTCTATGAGTTTTTGTATATGTGAGTATATGAGTTTTGGTATATGTGAGTCAACTCTTTCTATGAGTTGGGTCAAAGTAGTCGAGTCACAATCTCAACAATGGGTAAGATTTATGTGTAAGAACTCCAATCGCACTTGAAGATTGTGTTTCAGTAGGGGAATTACAGCATGACAGGTGTGCTGAATCATGATTTAAATATTGCTCACTCCTTCAATCCCGACACTTTGGGAGGCCAAGACAGGAGGATCACTTGAAGCCAAGATTTTAAGACCACCCTGGGTAACATAGCAAGACCCTATCTCTACAAAAAATTGAAAAATTATCCAGGCATGGTGGTGCATGCCTGTTGTCCTAGCTACTCAAGAGGCTGCAGAGGGAGGATCGCTTGAGCCCAGGAGTTTGAGGTTACAGTGAGCTGTGATTGTCCCACTGCACTTCAGCATGGGCAACAGAGTGAGACTTGTCTCTGAAACAAACCAATACTAAATTAAATAAAACATAAGCACAAATACACACTCACACACATACAAGAGTATATATATATCCTAAAGTTTATTCCACAGTAACCATAGTAATATATAGAGATTTTTCTAATTCTTTTTACAGCTGCATAATAATCGGTTGTGTTAATCTTCATAGTTTATTTAACTATTCTGTGTTATTGAATATTTGGATTATTTGCAATCCACTTGCTATTAAAAACGGTGGTTCAATAAAAAAAATTACCAAAGCACCTGTGAATCTGATCTATGTATGAGAGTAATTATTTCAACCTTTGACTATTTTATATGTCAGATATAGTACCTCATTCCTAGACCCTGTTCAAGTTTGAGAATGACAATCATGTCAGATAGGTGTGCATACAAGAGTCACATTCTCAACTGGTTGCTGGTCTCTGTTATGACACTTTGTACCACTAAGTGTTTATGTGATAGGCCTGAGGGCTATAATCCTTTATGACCCTTATACAAGTGAAAAATCCAGGACTTTACCCATGACCATAAGACTGGCTGAGAGTCAAAATATCTCTACTGGCTGGGTCCAGGTGTGACAGATATTATTATAAATGTGTATTTAACTCCGGTATATGTCACAATTTCACCTGTGAGCAGGGACAAGGCAGGAGAGTCACATTACCTGAGTGCTGAGCCAGTGATACACTATGATATCATTTGCAGCCTGGTCTTATTCAGAAAGGTCATATCACCTAGGTAAAGCCTTAAATAGTACGTCACCAAGCCCATGACAGACAGGGAAGAAGAAAAAAAGGAGAGTCACTCCACTAAGGTGCTGGGATCTTCAATATGTAATAATTCCCTCTCTTGGCAGAATCTAGAATATGAAGAAGAGCCACATCACCTAGGTTTTGCAATCAGTAGTATGTCATAATTTCTTTTGTCGTCAGGACCCAGGCAAGACATGAGAGTCACATGACCTAGATTAGTTAGCCAAATGATATTTCAGAATATCCTCTGGGGGCAGAGGCAGGAGAGAAAAATTGCCTAGCTTACAGGCCAAAAGATATGTCATAATATTCCCCATTGTCAGGGTCCAGGCAGAAGAGTCATATTATTATGATTCTAACCTGGAGATATGTCACAGTTCATCTGTATGTAGGAATTTATGCCAAAACATCTCAACACCTTGGTAGTAGGCCTACATCTCCTAGACGAGTCAGCTGCTCCCACAGAATCCTCACACGACCACCCCAACCTCTCACCCTCAATAATTATCTTTCTATGCTATTAAAATTAATTGTGACCACCACCCCATCATACTCAAATATTCATTGGACCAATGCCAACTCTCTTAATAATTCTAATAATAAAGACCCTCAAATATCAGTAGTTGACCCTCATGTTTCAGGATATTCCTTAATAGTGATAGCCACAGTATAACCAAAAACAACCATCATATCACCTAAATAAATAAAAAAAAGACTATTGACCCTATGAAACCCCCAAGAAAATTCAACACAATTCCACAACACACAGCATCACTAATAATTAACTCTAGGCCTCCATAAATAGAAGAAAGTTTTGAAGAAAAACCTACAAACCTTACAGCCAAGGGAATACTTAATAAAAATAAAGCATATTACATTATTCTCACATGGACTATAACTATGACTAATGATATGAAAACCATCGTTGTACTTCAACTATAAGAACATTAATGACCAATACTCACAAAACACATTGCTAATAAAATTATTAACTACTAATTCATTGATCTTTCCACACCATCTAACATTTCTACATGATGAAACTTTGGATCACTTCTTGGTGGCTGCCTAATTCTCCAGATCCTCACAGGATTATTCTTGGCCCTGCACTATACTTCAGACACCTCAACTGCATTTCCTTCAGTTGCTCATATCAGCCAAGATGTAAACTGCAGTTGAATGGTTTGTTATTTTCAGGACAATGGCCCTTCAATATTTTTCATCTGCTTCTTCTTATGTGTTGACCAAGGCTTATATTACAAATCATTTCTATTCCTGGAAACCTGAAATATTGGCATTATCCTCCTATTCACAACTATAGCATCAGCATTCATAGGCTACATGCTCCCATGGGACAAATATCATTTTGAGGCACTACAGTAATTACAAATCTGCTATCAGCCATACAATATATTGGAACTGACCTGGTACAATGAATCTGAGGCAGATTCTCAGTGAACAAGGCCACCCTCAAACAACTATTCAGATTCAATTTCATCTTACTTTTCAACCCTACAGCTCTAGCAACGATTCACCTTTTATTCTTGCATGAGAGAGGATTTTTAGGAGTTTCATCAGACCCAGACAAAATCATGCTCCACCCCTACTATAAAACCAAAGATATCTAGGTTTAATTTTTCTTCTCCTTCTAATAACTCTAGTACTGTTTTCACCAGACCTCCTTAACAACCCAGATAATTAGAGTTTAGCCAACCCCCTCAATACTCCACCCCACATTAACCAATACCTTTTTTTGGTGTACCCAATCTTACTACCTATCCCTAACAACCTAGGAAGTGTACTGGCCCTCATATCATCCACTCTCATTCTAGCAGTTAAGCAGTTATTTCTGTACTTCACAAGTCTAAGCAACAAGGCATCATATGCCAGCCATTAAATCAATGCATATTCTGAATCCTAGTGGCTGTTCTGTTTACATTCACATGAATCGGAGGGAAGCCATCAAATACCCTTTTATTGACATCAGACAGACAGCATCTATCATGTACTTCTCTACCATCCTCACCCTTATGCTGCTCACTACCCTAATTGAAAATAAATTATTTAAATGAAAATTCTCTTGTAGTATAATTCAATACTCTGATCTTCTAAACCAGAAATGGAGAATCCCCTCTACAGGACAACTCAAGAAAAAAGCATTTCTACTTCACCGTCAACTCCCAAAGCTGAAATTCTAATTAAATTATCCCTGAATTTTTTTACAGCACACACTTTAACTACTATGTCAGTATTAATCAACTAACACTAATACATTAGTGCTTTTATGTATTTTGTACATTACTGCTATCCCCATGAATAGTATGTATTACTATAATTGTTTATTCATACTTTCATACATGCAGATACATTACAAATCTGCTCCACATACATATAAGCATGTATTAACCTTCCCTTAATCAACTATGCTATATCTACTATTATTGACAGTACAATACAAATCTAATTTATATGAATATTGACCTATATTAGATATCCTTAATATGACATAGTGCCTACATTTATTTTTCAGACATAACACATTTCTGTCAAGAAATCTCTTGTCAACATGGATATCCTCTACCAAATCCTGATCTCTTAATCTACCAACTTCTGTGAAATCACCATCCTAATTGGGAGTACTACCCACCTCATTCTGGGCCCTTAACACATGTGGCTGACTATTTTGAAAGTATAACTGGCAACTGGTTCTTACTTCAGGACCATGAAACTAAGATCACTCACATGTTCCCCTTAAATAAGACATATTGATAGACTAAAGGCTACCACCATATTAACCAGTAATGGGAGCACTATCATGCATTTGATATTTTTAACTTTGGAGGCTGCTGTCACTCACCATCAAGGAAAGCCTAGTCTCCTCTGAATCTGCTGTACATGAATTCAGATTTAATTCCTGCCAAATCAATGGTAGAAACTGAGCTCGTATTGAATATTCTGGGCTGGCACAGGAACCATAGCTGTTAATTAATTCTTGCTTAAAAGACATAACAATTAGTCATTAGGCACGTATGTTCATGAAGGTATGCTCACTTTCAAGAACTACTTCTGATTAAATCCACAAACTCCTCCTCCCCTCATCACTGACTTTACCATCAACCAAGGTAAATTTATCTTTGCCAAATTCCAAAAACAAGAGACTAAACTGGAACACAGCTAGAACTCAAAAATCATATTTTAACCATGAATACCCCAACTTCTACCCCAGGATTGAGGAAATTTTCCTAAAAATCTTAAGACCCAACAAATCAAGCCTCCATTTTATATAATGAATATAATAACTAAACTTCCATCTTAACACTAATATAATAACCTGAGCATATCTCTCTAAAAGCGCCACCCCATGTATTATACCTTAAATCAATTATATTCTAATTATGAGTAATCCTCTCAACTCAATCTCTGCCAATTCAACTTCAAAGGCCGTGAATTCTCAGAAGTGTAAATGACTACTTATATTTACTTCTCTCCTTCTCATATTCTAATTTTAGACTTAAGTATCTATACAGTTAACATAGCTTTATTATTTCAAAGCAAGACACTGAAAATGTCTAGATGGGTCTAGACAATCCCATAAACAAACAGATTTAGTCCAGGCCTTTCTATTAGATCCTAGTAAGATTACACAAGCAAGCATCCCTGAGCCGGTGAAAATGCCTTATAGATCACCCGGATCAAAAGGAGTAAGAATCAAGGATGCACAAATGCAGCTCAAAACACTTTGCTCAATCACAACCCTGTGGGAAACAGCAGTGATAAATATTTAGTAATAAATGAATATTTAACTAAGCTATGCTGATATCCAGGGCTGGTCAGTTTCATGCCAGCCACCATGGCCATACGATTAACCCAAGCTAATGGAACACTGCATAAAGAGTGTGTAAGTTCTGCTCTCACTAAGGCTAAACTCCATCTAAGTTGTAAAAAACTCCAGCTGAAAAACAATATACTATGAAGGTGGTTTTATTATCCTGAAGGCACAATAGCCAAGACCCAAACAGGAATTAGATAACACACTATGCTCAGCCCTAAACTCTAATAGTTACATTAACAAAACCACCAGAATACTACAAGCAACAGCTTAAAATTTAAAGGACTTGTTTTTTTCTTGTAAATTTGTTTGAGTTAATTGTAGATTCTAGATATTAGCCCTTTGTCAGATGAGTAGGTTGCAAAAATTTTCTCCCATTCTCTAGGTTGCCTATTCACTCTGATGGTGGTGTATCTTGCTGTGCAGAAGCTCCTTAGTTTAATTAGATCCCATTTGTCAATTTTGAATTTTGTTGCCACTGCTTTTGGTGTTTTAGACATGAAGCCCTTGCCCATGCCTATGTCCTGAATAGTATTGCCTAGGTTTTATTCTAGGGTTTTTATGGTTTTAGGTCTAACATGTAAGTCTTTAACCCATCTTGAATTAATTTTGGTATAAGGTGTAAAGAAGGGATCCAGTTTCAGCTTTCTGTATATGGCTAGCCAGTTTTCCCAGCAACATTTATTAAATGGGGAATCCTTTCCCTGTTTCTTGTTTTTGTCAGGTTTGTCAAAGATCAGATAGTTGTAGATATGTGACATTGTTTCTGAGGGTTGTGTTCTGTTCCATTGGCCCATATCTCTGTTTTATTACCAGTATCATGCTGTTTTGGTTACTGTAGCCTTGTAGTATAGTTTGAAGTCAGGGAGAGTGATGCCTCCAGCCTTGTTCTTTTGGCTTAGGATTGACTTGGCAATGTAGCCTCTTTTTTTGGTTCCATATGAACTTTAAAGTAGTTTTTTCCAATTCTGTGAAGAAAGTCATTGGTAGCTTGATGGGGATGGCATTGAATCTGTAAATTACCTTGGGCAGTATGGCCATTTTCACGATATTGATTCTTCCTATCCATGAGCATCGAATGTTCTTCCATTTGTTTGTATCCTCTTTTATTTCGCTGAGCCATGGTTTGTAGTTCTCCTTGAAGAGGTCCTTCACATCCCTTGTAAGTTGGATTCCTAGGTATTTTATTCTCTTTGAAGCAATTGTGAATGGGAGTTCACTCATGATTTGGCTCTCTGTTTGTCTGTTGTTGGTGTATAAGAATGCTTGTGATTTTTGCACATTGATTTTGTATCCTGAGACTTTGCTGAAGTTGCTTATCAGCTTAAGGAGATTTTGGGCTGAGACAATGGGGTTTTCTAGATACACAATCATGTCATCTGCAAATAGGGACAATTTGACTTCCTCTTTTCCTAATTGAATGCCCTTTATTTCCTTCTCCTGCCTGATTGCCCTGGCTGGAAATTCCAACACTATGTTGAATAAGAGTAGTGAGAGAGGGCATCCCTGTCTTGTGCCAGTTTTCAAATGGAATGCTTCCAGTTTTTGTCCATTCAGTATGATGTTGGCTGTCGGTTTGCCATAGATAGCTCTTATTATTTTGAGACACATGCCATCAATACCTAATTTATTGAGAGTTTTCAGCATGAAGCGTTGTTGAATTTTGTCAAAAGCCTTTTCTGCTTCTATTGAGATAATCGTGTGGTTTTTGTCTTTGGTTCTGTTTATGTGCTGGATTACATTTATTGATTTGCATATGTTGAACCAGCCATACATCCCAGGGATGGCGAAGGATATGAACAGCACTTCTCAAAAGAAGACATTTATGCAGCCAAAAAGCACATGGAAAATTGCTCATCATCACTGACCATCAGAGAAATGCAAATCAAATCCACAAGGAGATAGCATCTCACACCAGTTAGAAGGACGATCATTAAAAAGTCAGGAAACAACAGGTGCTGGAGAGGATGTGGAGAAATAGGAACACCATTATGCTGTTGGTGGGACTGTAAACTGGTTCAACCATTGTGGAAGTCAGCGTGGTGATTCCTCAGGGATCTAAAACTAGAAATGCCATTTGACCCAGCCATGCCATTATTGGGTATATACCCAAAGGATTACAAATGATGCTGCTATAAAGACACATGAACACGTATGTTTATTGGGGCACTATTCACAATAGCAGAGACTTGGAACCAACCCAAATGTCCAATAATGATAGATTGGATTAAGAAAATGTGGCACATATACACCATGGAATACTATTCAGCCATAAAAAATAATCAGTTCATGTCCTTTGTAGGGACATGGATGAAGCTGGAAACTATCATTCTCAGCAAACTATTGCAAGGACAAAAAACCAAACACCACATGTTCTCACTCATAGGTGGGAATTGAACAATGAAAACACGTGGACACTGGAAGGGGAACATCACACACCGGGGAATGTTGTGGGGTGGGGGGAGGGGGGAGCGATAGCCTTAGGAGATATACCTAATTCTAAATGACAAGTTAACGGGTGCAGCACAACAACATGGCACATGTATACACATGTAACAAATCTGCACATTGTGCACATGTACCCTAAAACTTATAGTATAATAATAAAAAAAATTAAAGGACTCAGCGGTGCTTTATATCCCTCTAGAGGAGCCTGTTTTTTAATCAATAAAACCTGATATACCTCACCACTTCTTGCCCCCAACCTATATATCCCCCTCTTTAGAAAACCCTAAAATGGTTATAGAGTAAGCACAAGCATACCCACAAAAATGTTAGATCAAGGTGTAGCTCCTGAGCTGGCAAGAAGTGGACTACATTTTCTGTACCCAGAATATCTCATAACAACTTCTATGAATTCTAAGGGCTCAAGGAGAATTTAGCAGTAAACCAAGAGCAGAGTGCTTGGTTGAATAAGGCCATGAAGCATGCATATACCACCTGTCACCCTCCTCAAATATTATTCTAGAAATTACTATTACTGAAAATTCTCCATGCACTTATAAAGGAGCTCCATGACAAAATGGTAAGCATACTGAAAAGTGTGCTTGGACAAACAAAAGTGTAGTTTAACCCAAAGCATCTGGCTTACTCCCAGAAGATGTCATCACAACCTGATCACATTGAGCCAGCTCTAGTCCCAAACCTCTCTAAAAATATAATAAACTATCTTAATCATACTATTTATCTTAGACAAAAGTATAGGTGATAAATTTTTTTACCCTGGTGCAATAGACATAGTACCATAAGGAAAAGATGAAAAAACTGAATAAAGCATTAGAAGGCAAAAACAAACCCTTTTATATTCTGAATAATGTATTGACTAGAAATAACTTTACACAGAGAACCATAGCCAAGTCCCCCAAACCGGACTAGCTACTCAAGAACAGCTAAAAGAGCACAGAGTAGGAAGATTCATGAGTAGCAGTGACAAGCCTACTGAGACTGGTGATATCTGGTGGTCCAAGATAGAATCTTAGTTCAACTTATACTTACCCACAGAATTACTTAAACTCCCTGTAAGTTTAAATGTTATTCTAAAGAGGGACAGCTCTTTAGACCTTAGGAAACAACTTTCCTAGAGAAACTAAAAAATATTACCACCATAATTGGCCTCAAAGCAGCCCCGATTAGGAAAGCATTCAAGCTAAACATCCAATTACCTTAAATTCTAATCACCACACTAAACTTTAATATCACTTTGGACTAACTTATTACTTAATATAAGCAATAATGTTAATATAAGTAACATGAAAATATTCTTCTTTGGATAAGCTTATGTGAGACTGGAATAATTCACTGATAGTTAATAGCCCAATATTAATAATTGATATAATAAGCACCCTATTATTTATACTGTTAATCCAACACAGGTATGCTCTAAGGAATGATTAAAAAAACTAAAAGGAACTCAGCAAATCTTACTCTGGCTGTTTACCAAAAACTTCACCTCTAGCATTATCAGTATTACAAACACTGCCTGTCCAGTGAAAAATGTTCAATGACCATGGTATCCTGAATGGACAAAGGTAGCATAGTTACTTGTTCCCTAAATAGGGACTTGTGTGAATGGCCATATGAGGGTTCATCTGTTTCTCACTTTTAATCAGTGAAATTGGTGACCTATCCATGAAGATGTGGATATAAACAAATAAGATGAGGAGACCCTATGGAACTTTAATTCATTAATGTAAATAAAAACTCAAAAAATCCTCCAGACCCTAGTGTACTATCGCTGCATTAAAAATTTGGGTTATGGTGACCTTGGACCATAATTTAAACTTTGCACAACCTAAACTAAGACTGCACTAGTCTAAGAGAGTTGACACACATTGATCCAATAATTTCATCAATGAAATAAGTTACCCTAGAGATAACAGCATAATCCTATTCTAGAGTTTATATCAAGAATAGGATTATGACCTATTGACCTTCATGTTTGATAAGGACATGCTAATGGTGTAGCCAGTATTAAGGATTCTTTTGTTCAGTGATTAAAGTCCTACATGATTTGAGTTCAGACCAGAGTAACCCAGGTCGGTTTCTATCTATTTAACTTTTCTCCTAGTATGAAAGGACAAGAGAAACAGGGCCCACTTCATAAAGCACCCTCACCCCACAGATGATGTTATCTTACTCTAATATATCACCATGCACCCTACCCAAGAGCAGGGTTTGTTAAGATGGCAGAACCTGGCAGTTTCATAAAACTTAAAGTTTATAATCAGAGGTTCAACTCCTCTTCTTAACAACATGCCTATAATTAACTTTGTCCAACTTATTACTCCCACTCTAATTGCTATAGCATTCTTTACGCTCATTGAACAAAATATCTTAGGCTATATACAACAATGCAAAAGACTTAACACTGTAGGTCCTACGGACTGATTCAACCATTCACTGATGGAATACACTACACACTGTATATTCACCAGAACTCTATATCACAAATTTTATTACAAAGACCTTCTTTTACCCACCTTGTTTTTATAAATTGGAAGAGCATACCTCCAATTTAACTGTGAACACCTCACACATTTTCTATGAAAAAAAATTTCTATCACTTACACTAGCATTCTGCATATATCACAATGTCTGTCCTAATTTTGAGCATTACACCCCAAAGAAAATATGTCTGACAAAATAATTACTTTGACAGAGTAAACAATAGGTGTTAAAATCCTCTTATCTCTAGAATATAGGAATTGAACCTGCACCTGAGAATCCAAAATTCTCTGTGCTACCTATTACACCACGTCCTAAATTAAGGTCAGCTAAATAAGCTATCAGGCCCATACACTAAAAATGTTGGTTATATCCTTCCCAAAGTAATTAATCCATTAGTTCAACTTATTATCTCCATTACTATTTTCACAGAAACCCTTATCACAATGCTAGACTTACACTGATTTCTCATTTGAATGGAAATAGAAATAAATATAATTGATTTTACCTCAATCTCCATTAAAAAATAAGTTTCTGCTCTAGAGAAGCAGCCACCAAATATTTGTTTACACATACAACTGCATCTATAATTCTCATGATAGGTATTCTTTCCAATAAACTTTCCTCCAGGCAATGAATACTATTAATCAAATTTACCCTTAATAATAATAACTGCCCTAGTAATACGACTCAGAATAGCCCCCTTACTTCTAAGTCCCAGAGATAACCCAAAGAACCTCTCTTATATCTGGCATAATTCT
This sequence comes from Homo sapiens, assembly GCF_000001405.40. Taxonomy (NCBI): domain Eukaryota; kingdom Metazoa; phylum Chordata; class Mammalia; order Primates; family Hominidae; genus Homo; species Homo sapiens. Next base: position 8,372,616 of record NC_000024.10, read on the forward strand.
CCTCACATGAGTAAACTAGCCTGTATCTCGATTATGTTTCAAATCTTCCATCAATGAACATGAACATCCTCCTATCTATCAAGAACCTATCCATTATAGAGAAAGCTAAGTATTTACCAAGTTATATGGCACAATCTAACATGTGGGCAGAAATGAGGCAGAAGAGCTACATCACCAGGGTACAGCCCCTAGTAATGTGCTACCATGCCAAGTGAAGACAGGTATGAAGAAAAACAGAGAATCGCACCACCTGGGTGCTGGACTCAGAAATATATAATAATTCCTTCCCTTGAAAAAGTCAGGACAAAGGGGAGAGTCATGTCACCTAGGTTTTCACTTAGTGGTAGGTTACAATTTCTTTTGTGGGAAGGATCAAGGCAGGAGATAAGAGTCACATTACTTAGAAGTAATTCCACTGATATTCTAGTGGAATATCAGTGACCACCATAAACATGGCACTGGCAGCAGAGACAAAACACCTAGCCAATAGGCCTGGAGGTATATAAAAGTATTCTGTTTGCAGAGCACAGGCAGAAGAGTCACATTATCATGATTTTGAACCTGTGATATGTAACAATGCCTTATGAAAAGGAATTAACCCAAAAAGTCTCAACCCAGAGGTACTAGGCCAAGGGATATGACAAAATCTCCTCATCTTTGAGGGTGACACCATTAACTGTTAGCTAATTGTGTATATAAGAGTCACAATCTATCCTGTTTGCTGGCCATTATATGACACTCTCTACAACATCTGAGAACTTTATACAAAATGCATGAGAGTTGCATACCTCCTTGAGGTCTAGATGCAAAATCTTTTTTGTTGCCCTAAACACAGGTATGACAGTCAACATCTCTCCTGTAGGCTGGCTTCAGGGATGAGAGTACTGTTATACCTGTGAGCTGGGTCCAGAAACGAGCCGCCATCCCACCTGTGGTCAGATTAAGCTATGAAAGTCAGAATTCCAACTTTCTTCTGTATTCACTTCTTACAATCAGGACTTCAACAATGGGCTTTGTAAAGGTAGAATGGGAAAAACTTATACTTTCACTTGAATGTATAGTCAAGAGTTACAATATTAAATTTTTGCTGGGCCCTGTTATGAAACTCTCTGTACCACATAAGAAGTTTTTATAATATGAGTTAGTGTTGTTAATTTCCGTGAGCTTTATAAAAATATGCAATGAAGGACCTTACCTATTAACCTAAACCCAATGGTGAGAGTCAAAATATCTCCTTTTGGCTGAGTCTGAATATAAGGGTTAATCATTATGTTTTTGAATGAAGGAAAGTATATGTCATAATCCCATTTGTGGGCCAAAAAAAAAAATAGGATGTTAACATCCTTAGGACCTGTTTCAAGGAATATATCAAGGCAGGGTCTAGGAAAGACAGTCATATTAACTGAGGGCTGGAGCCAGCAATATGATACAACCACTAGTGGAGAAAATCCAGCAACGTGATGAGAGCCAAAACACCTACACAACTGAACAGAGATACGTCAAAACACTTTCTATGGCTCTGGAACAGGCAGGAGAATCTTATCATTAGGGTGCAGGACTGAGCAGTAGGCTGTAATTTCTTCTTTATGCATGACCTAGGCAGAAGAGCAATATCATCCCAGTGCTGCAATCTGAAATACTGCAAAAGTCCTGTTTGTGGGTGTTTTTTGGCTACAAAACAAGAGCCACATTACCTAAGTGCTGGGCTCATCAATATGTCACAGTCTTCCCATTGTAAAGACCCAGACAGAAAAAAAGTCACATCACTTAGAACATGGGCTCAGAGATATGACCCAATGTCATCAATATACAGGGCTCAGGTAGAAGAGAATCATATCACACCTAGGTGCTTCTTTATGTACATGTCACAACCTAATATGCAGGCAAAATTATGGTGAAGAGCCACATCACCTGGTCCTGGGTTCTTAGATAATCACAAGTTCCCCTTAGAAAAGGCTCAGGCTAGAGAGTTATATCATCTAGGTGCAGGTTCCACCCTTACGTTACAAAGTTCCAAGTGGGCAGGGCCAAGTAGGATGTCATATCACCTAGATGATAGGCCCAGGGATATGTCACAAAGCCTTCCTAAAAGCATGGCCCTGGCAAAAGAGTACCATTGTGCTTGGCCTGGCAATGTGTCACTATACAAGTAGGCAGATCCCAAGCAAAAGAGCCGTATCACCTGCCTGATGGGCCCTGTGATATGTCAAAATGCCCTCTTTTGGTCATGGACCTGGCAAAATGGTATTATTACCTGTGTGCCTGGCCAAGGTATATGTCACTATATTGCCCTGTGTGTAGGGCTCATTCCAGAGAGGAGAGTTACATCTTGTAACTGATTGATGGAGTGATATGTCACAATGATGTCTGTAGGCATGGTGCAAGCAAGAATGTAACATCATCTGGGTGCTGGATCCAATGATGTCACAATTCTTACCGAGAGCAGGTTCCAGGCAGAAGAGTCATATCACCAGGTAGACATCAAAATTCCCAATGTAGGCTGGAACCACTCTGATGAGTGAAATCACACAGGTGCTTGGCAAAGAATTATATCACTGTCATGATAAAATAAAATTCTAGGGATTAGATTTAAAATACCACACATGTCCTGCTTTAATGTAAGACAGTTGCCTTCATCTATCTGTGATTGTGAAAATCTTTAAATCAGCTTGGAGCACATATGGGCTAAAAATTTCCTGTGGGTGCTTGGCCTTGTTATGACACTCTCTATAAAATCAAGGGTGTTATATAGTATATGTGATGGTTTTAATATTCTGTGACCTTTTTACCAGAAGGAAATGCTGGACATCACTCATGTCCCTATACCTAGTTATGAGAGTCAACATTTCTCCTATCGGTTGAGTGTACGTATAAGAGTTATAATCTTGCCTTTGAGCTGTGCCTTGGTATAAGTCACCATCACCTCCTGTGGTTATTAAATAGTCAGGATAATTACAAAACCTATATCCTAAGCCAGAAATATTCCAATATTATCTTTGAGACAGAAAAGTCACAAACCTTTTGTTCTAGGCCCAGCTCTATGGCATAATGCCCCTTGTGGAGAGTGTCCAGGCAGGAGAGTCATATCACCTGGATTATGGGCCCAGAGATATGTTACAATGCCTCCTGTTGAAAGGGTCCGGGGAAGAGACTCATGTAATTTGGATGCAGGGCTTAGAAATGTTATACTCTTCACTAGAAGCAGGGTTGAGGCAAGAGAGGAGAGTCACATAACCTAGACTATGTGTCCAGAGATATGTTATGATCCCTTCTGAGGACACTGTGAAGACACAAGGGTCAAATCACCAAAGTCCTTGGCCCAGGTACATGTCAATATGCCATCTGTGGGCTAGAATTAGGCAGAATTATTAAATCACTCAGGAGAAAAGTAAATGTCACTATAACACCTGTGGACATGTTCAGGGATGAGAGTCATCATCCTGTATACATCTTGGCTCCAGGTACAAGAGTTGTTATTAGGCCTTTGACCTGGTCTTAGGTGTATGGCATAATATCACCTGTGGTCCAGGAGAAGAAAGGACAGCCGCATCACCTTAGTGGGTGCTGGTCTAGTGAATTATTACAATGTATTTTTGGGGCAGGACTCCGGAAGATGAGTCACATCACCAGGATACTTGTTTCAGTGATATATCTAAATCCCCACTATGGGGAGGGCTGAGGCAGGACAAGAGACAAAGTTCACATACTCAATTGGCCTGGATATATGTCACAATTTCCCCTGTGTGCACAAACATACAGGAGAGTAACCTCACCTTGGTGCTGGGTTCAGCAATGTGTCACAATCTCCCTGGTTGTCAGGGCCCAGGCAAGAGGGAAGAAACATCACCTAGGTTCTGAGACAAGTGATATGTTACAAATTTTCCAATTGGCAGAGCCCTTGCACAAAAGAGTCACATCACCTGGGTTGAGATACCAGTTATGTGTCACAATGCACCCCAAGTGTCAGGCAAAGGCAATAGAAGGAATTCATGTCACTTACATGATGGACCATGATAAAAGCCACAATGCTCCTTGTAGGCAGGGTTCAGGCCAATATTTCACATCAGCTGGGTGCTTGTCTCAGTAATACGAAAAAGTGCCCTCTGTCACATTGCCAAACAAGATGTTGTATATTGCATATATGCTTGATGCATATATGTCACAATTTCAACAGCGGTCTGGGCCTACAAAGGAGAGACAAAACACTCAGATGCTGGACAAAGTCATACTTCTCAATTACACAGTCAAAAATGTTCAGAAATAAGTTTTACAGTCCCACAGAAGTCCTGGCTTCTGGTATGAAAGTCAACAGCTCCTATGATTTGGGTCAAAGTACAGGAGTCACAATCTGAACAATGGGCAATATCCCTGTATAAGAACCCCAGTTCCACTTGAAGACTGTTCCAAGAGATGAGTCAAAGCACTACAGGTATGCTGAATTATGGTTGAAACATCATCAAACTACCCATGGATCAAATTCATGTATGAGAATACAACTTTAAGCTTTGACTGCTTATGTGTGTGATATTTAGTATCTCACTCATAGGCTCTGTTTATTTGTGAGAATGACAACTGTGTCAGCTGGGTGTGGATCCAAGAGTCACAATAGCCACTTGGTTGCTGGTGTCTGTTATGACACTTTTTGTACCACTCAGACCTTATATAATATGTCTAAGTAGCATATTTTTCTGTAAATATTTACAGGTGGGAGATCTAGGACTTTACCCATGGTCCTAAGACTAGCTATGATAGTTGAAGTATCATTCCTGGCTGGGACTAGGTATGAGAGTTATTATTGTGAATATGAGCTGAAGAAGGGTAGCACAACTTAGGTGTTGTGCCAAGCAATATGTCACAATGCTCTCTTTAGGCAGGGTCCAGTAATTAGTGTTACATTAACTGGGTGCTGGACCCAGCAATATGACACAATCCCAATGTGGGGGGCGGGGAACAGAAAAGTAATGAGAGCAAAAGAGCAAAAACACCTACAGAATAGGCCCACAATATGTGAAAATACTTTCTGTCACTCTGGCACAGGGAGGAGAGTTACATCATCAGGGCGTGGGGCCCAGAAATATGCCCTAATTATCTCCTTAGGCAGGAGTGAGGTAGAAAAGAAATATCATCTGGTTCCTGGCCCCTGCCAATATGTCAAAATTTCTTTTCATGGGCATGGTTCAGAAGCAAAAGTAGAGTCATATTGCATAAGTATTAGCCTTAGCGATATGCCACAACACCCCATTGTTAAGGCTCAGGGAGAAGAAAAGAGTCACTTCAATTAAAAAACAATCTTACATATATAGTCCAATGGCCCAAGTAAGCGGGGATCTGGCAGTAGAGAGGAGTCATATCACCTAGGTGCTTCACTAGGTATATGACATAATCTAACATGTGAGGTGAAAGGAGGTAGAGGAGCCACATCACCTTGATGCTGGGTTCTTAGATGTGTCACCAGGCTCCCTTAGGACAGGACCCAGGCAAGACTGTTACAACAAATAGATGCAGGTTCCACACTTATGTCACAAGGCTCCATGTGATCAGGGCCCAAGAAGTAAGTCATACCACCTAGATGACAGGCCCAGAATTATGTCACAATGTCCTCTTTGAGGCATAACCCTGTTGAAAGAGTGTGATCACCTGGATGCCTAGCCTAGCAATAGGACACCATCCAGGGAAAGCAGGACCCAAAAGGAGAGCAACATAACTTAGGTGATAGGCCAAGCGATTTTTCACAATGTCCCTCTTAGGACATGGGCCTAGCATAGGAGTGCCATACCCTGTGTGCCTGGCCCAGCTGTATGTTACTATTCCCCACTGTGTGAAAGGCCCATTCTAATGAGGAGAGTTATGTCACCCAAGTGGTTGACATAGTGAAATGTCACAATAATTTCTGTGGGCATGGCTCAGGAAAATGTAATATGACCTGGGTGCTGGATCTGGAGATATGTCATGATTCTTACAGACAGCAGGGCCCAGGAAGGAGAGAAATATCACCCAGAGGTGGGTGGATACCACAATAACATATGTGGGCAGAAACCAGTATGGAGTGTCAGATCACACAAAAACTCTACAAATACTTATATTACAATCACACTTGCAGAAAATTCCCAAAAGGAGATTTACAATATCACACCTGTCCTGTTTTCATGAGTGAGAGTTGGCTTCATATATGTGAGATGGTGACAGTTCTTACTGTCAGCAGGGTGTGCATATGCGACTCACAATTTCACCTTTTCTGCTGGGTTCTGTTATGACACTCTCTGTATAAGCCAAAGAGTTTAAGAAATATCTGAGACTGTTGTAATCTTATTTGAACTTTTTTTTTACCAGAAAGATATTTAATCACTCTTGTTACTAAAGCAAGTTATGAGAGTCAAAATTACTCCTTTTTGTGGGGTCTACATATAAGAGTCATTATCATGCCTGTGAGCTGTGCCTAGGTATATGCCATAATTTACTCTATGGTAATGAAACAGACAACACAGACAAGTCACCTAAATGCTGAGCCAGAAATTTTCATATATTCTCCTTGTAAGCAACTCCCTAGAAGAAAAGTTGCATGTCTTGGGTTTACACTGAGATGTATGGCATAATGCCCCTTGTGGGCAATGTCTAGAAGGAAAAAGAGACTCATATCACCTAAACGATAGGCCCAAAGCTATGTCAAAACTTCTCCTGTTGAAAGGACCCGGCAAGAAAGTCATATGAATTTGATGCAGTGCTTGGAAATGCTACAATCCCCAGTGGAATCAGGGTCTAGGAAGGAGAGTCAGGTAACAAGATGATGAGTCCAGCAACATGTAGCAGTCCTCCCTGAGGATATTGTTAACACAACAGAGTCAAATCACCAAGGTGCCCAGCTGAGGTAAGTGTCCAAATGTGTGGGTTGCACTTAAGCAGAATATTCAATCACTCATGAGCTGGGCAAAGGTATATGTCACAATAACACTGGTGGAAAATTCCAGGAATCAGAATCATCATCATGCGTATAACCTGGCTCCAGGTTTAAGAAGAATGATTAGTCCTTTGATCTGCTCTCAGGTATATGGCACAATATCACCTGTGGGAAGAGGAAAAGCAGGAAGGTCACGTCACCTGGGTAGGTGCTGGTGCAATGAAATGTCACAATTCTTGTAGGCAGAATCCTGAAAGAAGGGTCATATCATATGGATGCTGGTTTAAGTAATATACCAAAATTCCACCTGTGGGTAATGCTTAAAATTAGAGTAGACTCAATTCATCTAGGCGACCGACCTAGATATGTCACAATAGCTTCTATGTCCAGGACCAAGGTATTGAAATGACCTCACCTTGGCACTGGGGTTAGCAATATGTCACAATATCCCCTGTGTTCAGGGTGAGGCAAGAGAGGAGAAACATAACCTAGCTGCTGAGCCAAGGGATAGGTTACAAAGATTCCTGTTGGCATAATCCAAAACACAGAGTCCAATCACCTGGGTGCAGTACCTAGTTTTGTGTCACAATGCACCGTAAGTTCAGGGCCAAGAGAGTAGAAAGGAGTCACATCACTTATGTGATGGGCCTAGATATAAGCCCAAATACTATTTACAGGCAGGAATCAGGTAAATAATTCACATTACCTGAGTGCTGGTTCTAGTGATATGTAAAAGTGCCTTTTGTAGGCAGGCCCAGGCACCTAGACTTAGGTGTATACTCCACATATGTCACAATTTTATCTGTGGTCATGGTCTAAAAAGGAGAGTAAAATTATTCAGGAGCTGGGCTAACTTTTATGTCCTAATCACACACTAAGCAATATTCAGAAATAAGTTACACAGTCCCACACAAGTCCTGACTTTGAGTATGTGAGTTCATATCTCCTATGAGTTGGTCAAAGCTGAGAAGTCACAATCTCAACAATGGGCAAGATCCATATATTAGATGCCCAATCCCACATGAAGATTGTGCTTCAGTAAGGGAGTCGTGGAACCTCAGTTGCTGAATTATGCATCACCAAGTGACCTCTGTGTCAGATCTGTGTATGTGATGACCAATTTCAACTTTCAACTGCTCTTTTTTTTGTGAGATTTAGAACCTTACTTCTGGGCCCTGTTCTTGTGAGAGAATGACAATCAGGTAAGATGAGTGTGCATCCAAGAGTCACAATCACACCTGGTTTCAGTTCTGTGTTATGATACTTTTTGTACCACTCAGGTTTAATGTGATATGCCTGAGTGTCATAATCCTCTGTGAACTTTATACAGTTAGGAGACCCATTACTTTACTTATGGTCATAATATTAGCTATGAGAGTCAAAATTTCTTTCTCTTCTGGGTCTAGGTATGACAGTTATTTGTGATGTGAGCTGAACAAAGGTATATGTCACAAATTCACCTGTGTACAGAAACAAGGCAGGAGAGTTTCATCACCTGGATTCTGAAGTCAAGATACCTTACAAACTCCTTTGCAGGCCAGGCCAAGCCAGAAGAGTCACATCGCCTTGGTACAGCCTCAAATAATATGGCACCATGTCCACTGTAGACAGGTTTGTAGAAAAAGTGGAGAGTTACACCACCTAGGTCCTGGGCTCAGCATTATGTAATAATCTCCTCTTCTGGCAGACTCCAGAATAAAGAGGAACATTGCATTACCTTGTTTTCCACTCATCAGTATATTATAATTCCTTCAGTGGGCAAAACCTAGACAGAAGACAAGAGTCACATTTCTTAGATGCTACATTCAACGATGTCACAAAGTTCCTTGAGGGTAAAGCACATGCAAAATAGACAAATCACCTAGTTGATAGGGTTGGAGATATGTGATAATATCCCTTTTTGGCAGAACCCAGAGAGAAGAGTCACATTATTATGATACTGACCCAATGATATGTCGCAATGCACACATGGGAAACAATTTAAGCAAAATTTTAACATCTAAGTACTAGACCCAGTAATATGATGCAATCTTTTCATCTTTGAGGATGACACCGTTAAGTGCTAGCTTGGTGTATATATGAGTCACAATGTCACGTGTGTGCTGGGTCATGATATGACACACTCTACAACATCCAAAGGCTTTATATAGCATGCAAGACAGTCAGAGACTACTCTGACGCCCACTGGCTTATGAGAACTGACAATCTTAAATACTGCCTTAAACCCAGGTATGATAGTCAACATCTACCATTTAGGCTGAGTTCAGAAATAAGACTCATTTTTATACCTGTGAGCCTTGTCCAAAATGAGTCATGATCACACCTGTGGCCAGATCCACATATGAGAGTCACAATTCCCCCTTGGTACTGTTTTCCCTTGTCAGACTCAGTAACTCAACAGTGTGCTTTCTAAACGTGGTATGATGACAACTTTTACTTTTACCTGGCTGTGTAATTTAGATTCACAATCTTAACTTTTTGCTGGGCCTTGTTATGTAACTCTCTGTACCACCAAAAGGAGTTTATACAATATGAGTCAGTGTTGAAAACTTCTGTGAACTTTGTACAAATTTGAAACCCAGCATTCTACCTGTTACCTTACTCATAGTGATGAGAGATAAAATCTCTCCTATTGACTAGATTCCATTATAAATTTGACCATCATGCCTGTGAACTGAAGCAAGGCATATATCATAATCCCATTTGTGGACAAAAGTTAGGAATAGAGTAACATCACTTAACTTAAATGATGTGGCAAGAAATATGTCACAATACCGTTTCTAGGAGGATATGTCAAAATACACTCTGTGGTTCTGACACAGGCAGGACACTAGTATCTTCAGGGTGCTAGGCCCACCAGTCTGACATAAATCCCTCTTCATTCAGGAATCTGGCAGAAGAGTGACATCATCTGGGGGAATAGGACAAAATTTCCCTTAGTGGGCATAGTTCAGAATAAAGAAGAGAGTCACATGACCTAAATGCAACGCTTAGCAATATGTCACAATGCCACCATTTTAAAGGCACAGGTAGGGGAAAAGAGTCATATCCCTTAGGTCATGGGCTTAGTGATATGTCTCAATGTCCTGAGTAGGCAGGGCACAGTAGACAAGAAGAGTCACATCGCCTAGGTGCTTCCCTAGGAATATATCACAATGTAACATGTGGGCAGAAACCAGGCAAAATAGCCAGATCACTTGGGTGCTGGGTCTTGATATATGTCACTAGGCTCTGTTAGGACAGCACCTGGGCAAGAGAGTTACATCACCCTGGTGCAGGTTCTCTGCTCATGCCTACAATATGTGTAGGGCCCAAGGAGGGAGTCATTTCACCTAGGTGATAGGCCCAGAGATCTATCACAATGTCCACTATGAAGCATAGACCTGGCAAAAGAGTACCATCACCTGTGTCCATGGTATAGAAATATGCCAGTCTCCAGGTTGGCAGGGTAAAAGCAGGAGAGCCACATAACCTAGGTGATAGGCCCAGAGATTTGTCACGATGCCCTCCTTCTGTCATAGCTCTGGCAAAAAATATCTTCACCTGTGTGCCTTTCCTTGCATTACATAACAATCCTTTCTTTGTGCAGGGTCCATTACAGAGAGGAGAATTACCTCCTATGAGGTAGACACAAAACTATGTCACAATAATCTTGTTGGGGATGGTGCAGGCAAGAAAGTAACATCACCTGGGTGCTAGATCCAGTGATATATCACAATACATACTGAGGGAAGGGCCCAGGCAGGAGAGTCACATCACCTCTAGGTTGGCCTCAATAGATATCACAATCCCATATATGCGCCTGAACAACTCTGGATAGCCAAAATACCCAGGTGCTTTGCAAAGATTTATATCACGATCACAGTCTCAGAAAATTTCACAGATGATATTTACAATATCACACGTTTTGCTTTTATGTGTGACAGTTGGCTTCATCCATGTGAAATGATGACAGTCCTTACTGTTCAGCTGGGTGTGCATACAAGAAACAGAATTTTGCCTGTGGGCAGAGTCCTACTATGACTCTGTCTGTAGAACTCAAAGACTTTGTAAAATATATGTAAGTATTGTAATCTTTTGTAACCCTTGTACAATAAGGTGATCTAGGATATCACACATGTCCCTAAACTTGGTTACAAGAGTCAAAATATCCTCTACTGGCTGACTCCCCATAGAAGAGTCATTATCAAGCCTGTGAGCCATACCTAGGTATATGTTCCACTTCCCTCTGTGGTTGTGAGGCAGGCAGAACAAATACATCACCTAAATGCTGGGCCAAAAATATTCCAATATTCCCTTTTTAGATGGGGTCCTGTCCAAAATGTCACAAAATTTGTGTGCTAGGATCAGCTCTATGACACAATGTCCCTTGTGGGCAGTTTCCAGGCAGAAGATGAGAGTCATATGATCTAAATGATCAGCCCAAAAATATGTTACAATGCCTCCTGTTGGCAGGGCCCAGGCAAAAATTTCATATCATTTGGATGCAGTTTTTAGAAATGCTGCAATTACCAAAGGAAGCATGGTACAGGCAGGAGAGGAGAGTCATGAAATGCAGATGATGGGCCCAGAAATATGATACAATCTACCCTAAGGACATTGTTAAGATACCAAGAGTCAAATCACTAAGGTGCTTGTCTCAGGTATTTGTCAAAATCTCATTTGTGGGCTACACTTGAGCAGAATTATTAAGTCACTCAGGAGCTGGTGAAAGGTATATGTCACAATTACATTTGTGGAAATGTCTAAGAATAAGGGTCACCATCATGCACATATCCTGGATCCCGGCATATGAGTTGTTATTAGGCTCTTGTTATGGTCTTTAGTATATGGCACAATATGACCTGTTGCCAGAGAGAAGGCAAGAAAATCACATCACACACGTGAGTGCAGGTCCATTGAGATGTCACAATCAACCTTATGGGCAGGACCCTGGCAGAAGTGTCACATAATCTGGTTTCTGGTTTTAATGTCATATCAAAATCTCCTCTGTGGGCAGAAATTTGGCAGAAGAGGAGACACACTTCACCTAGGGAATCAACCTAGATATATGTCACAATGGCCAATATGTGCACTACCAAGGCTGGAGAGTGACCTCACTTTGGTGCTGGGCAAGAAATATGTCACAATCTCCTTGTGGACAGGTTCCACTGAAAAGCAAAGAAACAACACCTATGTGCTGAGCCAAGTGATATGTTCCAATGCTTCCTGTGGGCACAACCCCAAAAGGAGAATCATGGCACATTTGTGCAGTACTGAATTACGTGTCACAATGCGCTGTTTGCGCAGGGCCAAGGCAATAGAAGGAAGTCATATCACTTGCATGATGGACGTAGATACAAAACACAATTATTTTTGTAGGTAGGTTTCAGGCAGACAATTCACATCACCTGGGTGATGGTCCCGGTGATACATAAAATTTATCTTTATGGACAGAACAAAGGAAGATGGTGTTTATTCTATATATGGTACAATTTCATCTGTGTCCTGGGCCTAGAAAAGACAGTCAAATTATTCCTGTGCTGGGCAAAATTAACCTGTGACAATCACACTCTCAGAAAGGTTCAGAAAGAATTTTTACATCACACAGAAGTCCTGGCTTTTTTTAGGTGAGTCAAATCTTTCTATGAGTTGGGCCGAAGTAGAAGAGTCACAATCTCAACCTTGGGCAAAATCCATGTATAAAAGCCCAAATCTCACTTGAAGATTGTGTTCCAGCAGGGGAGTCAGAGCACCACATGGGTGCTGAATAATGGTTCAAATATTACCAATCCACCTGTGAATCAGATCCATGTGTGAGAGCTATTATTTCAATCTTCAACTTCTTTTTATGTGTGAGATTAAGGACCTCATGCCTAGGTCCTGTTGATGTTTGAGAATAACAATCGTGTCAGCTAGGTCTGCATATAAGAGTCACATTCTCACCTGGTTGCTGGTCTCTGTTATGACACTCTTTGCACAATTAAGGCTTTATATGATATACCTGAGTCTTATAATCCTTTGTGAACTTTATACAAGTGAAAAACCCAGGACTTTACCCCTGGCTATGATATTGGCCATGATATTCAAAATATCTCTACTGGGCCAGGCGTGGTGGCTCACGTCTGTAATTCCAGCACTTTGGGAGGCCAAGGCGGGTAGATCACAAGGTGAGGAGATTGAGACCATCCTGGCTAACATGGTGAAACCCCATCTCTACTAAAAAATACAAAAAATTAGCCAGGCGTGGTAGTGGGCACCCGTAGTCCCAGCTACTCAGGAGGCTGAGGCAGGAGAATGGCGTGAACCAAGGAGGCAGAGCTTTCAGGGACCAGAGATCGCACCACTGCACTCCAGCCTGGCCTACAGAGCGATACTCTGTCTTAAAAAAATAAATCTATTGGCTAAGTCCAGGTTTGTGAGTTACTATAGTGATTGTGTACTTAACCAAGGTACATGTCACAATTTCACCTGTGAGAAGGCACAAGGCAAGAGAGTCACATCACATGGGTGCTGAGCCAGTGATACAGTATAATCTCATTTGTAGGCTGGGCCTAATGTGAAGAGTCACATCACCTGGGTAAAGCCTCAAATACTATGTCACCAAGCTCACTATAGAGAAGGAAGAGAAAAAAGGAGAGAATTATTCCACCTAGGTACTGGGATCTGCAATATGTAATAATTCCTTCTCTTGCCAGAGCCTAGAATATGAAGGACAGTCACATAACCTAGGTTTTGCAATCAGCAGCATGTCACAACTTCTGTGGTGAGCAGGACCCAGGCGGGAGAGGAGAGTCACATTATCTGGATGTTAAGTCAAACAACATTTTACAATGTCCTCTGGAGGCACAGTACAGGCAGGGGAGACAAATCACCTAGCCTATAGCCCAAGAGATATGTGATAATATCCCCTGTTTTCAGGGTTCAGGCAGAAGAGTCACATTATTATGATTCTAACCAGTGATATGTAACAATGCACCCATGAGAAGATATTTAAGCCAAAAATCCTCAACACCTGGGTATTAAGTGAAATAATTTGCCAAATCTTTTCATCCTTGAGAATGATACTATTAACTGTGAGCTGGATGTGCATATTAGAATCACAATCTTATGTTTTTCCTTGGCCATTGTATGAAACTCTACACATTCAAAAGCTTTATCCAGCATCAATCAGTGTTGCAAACCACTTTGAAGCCTACGTGCTCATACGAATTCATGATCTTGTAATTGCCCTAAACCGAGGTATAATATTCAATATCTTTATTGTAGGCTGCATTCAGGGATGAGACTCATTATTATTCCTGTGAGCTAGATTAGGGATTAAGGCACCATCCCACCTGTGGCCAGATTCACATATGAAGGTCACTATTCCAACTTTGCTCTGTATTAACTTATTAGTCTCATGATCTTAACAGTGGGCTTTGGACATGTGGGATTGTGACAACATTTGCTTTCACCTGGATATATATATAGGAATTCCAATCTGAACTTTTTGTTGGTCACTATCATGAAACTCTCTGTACCACATAAGGAGTTTATACATTAAGAGTTAGTGTTGTAATGTTCTCTGAGCTTGGTACAAATATGCAACTCAGGACTTTACCTATTCCCGTTAGCCTAGTATTGAAAGGCAAAATATCTTCTATAGGATGAATCCCAGTATAAGTTTGAAAATCATGCCAGTGAACTGAAGTAATGCATATGTGATGCATTTTGGGGAAAAAACCTAGGTGGGAGGGTAACATCACTTAGGTGCTAGCTATGCCAAGCAATATGTTAAAATGCCCTCTCTAGGCAGAAAATAGGAATGAGAGTCACATTAAATGTGTGCTGGACTCAGGAATATGACACCATCCAACATGAGGGAAAAAGCAGGCAAGTTATGAGAGCCAAAACACCTACATAATTGGCCTAGGATATGTCAAAATACCTTCTGTGTCTCTGGCATAGGCATGAGAGTCACATTATCAGGGTGTAGCATTTATAGTAGGTAGGACAGAGGCAGAAAAGGAGAGTCATTTCTCCTAGGAGTTTCCATAGTTACATGTCACAATCTAACATGGGAGCAGTAATAAGGCAGAAGTGCCACATTACCCGTGTACAACCTCAAATAATATGTCACCATAGCTAATGTAGACAGGTTTGAAGAGAAAAAAGAGAAGCACACCACCTGGTTGCTCTGCTCAGCAATATATAGTAATTCCCTCTCATGGCTGAACCCAGGACAAAGAGAAGAATCATGTCACCTAGGTTTTGCAGTACTGGTATGTCACAATTTCTTTTTTTTAAATTTTATTATTATTATACTTTAAGTTTTAGGGTACATGTGCACAATGTACAGGTTTTTTACATATGTATACATGTACCATGTTGGTGTGCTGCACCCATTAACTCGTCATTTAGCATTAGGTATATCTCCTAATGCTATCCTTCCCCGCTCCCCCACCCCACAACAATCCCCAGAGTGTGATGTTCCCCTTCCTGTGTCCATGTGTTCTCATTGTTCAATTCCCACCTATGAGTGAGAATATGCGGTGTTTGGTTTTTTTGTCCTTGCGATAGTTCGCTGAGAATGATGGATGAAACTGGTATGTCACAATTTCTTAAGTGGGAAGGATCCAGACAGGAGAGTAGAGTCATATGTCACAATTTCTTAAATGGGCAGGATCCAGGGAGGAAACTAGAATCATATAACCTAGATGCTATGTCTAGTGATTTGTAACAGTGTCAATTGCCAGCACGGAACTGGCAGGAGAGACATCTCACCTAGCCAGTAGACTCAGAGATATGGGAAAATATACCCTGTTTGCAGGGCCCTGGCAGAAAGTTATCATCATTATCACATTATCGTGTGATAATGATATACCATCATTATACACCATCACATTATGATGATTCTGACCCATAATGCCCTTAGGAAAAGGAATTCACTCCAAAAATTCTGAACACCAGGGTACTAGGCCAAGGGACATAACACAATCTCCTGATCTTTAATGGTGATATCATTAGTGATCAGGTAGTTGTGTATAGGAGAGTCATAATCTCACATGTGTGCTGGCCATTATGTGACACTCTTTACAACACCTGAGAACTTTATAAAATATGGATAAGAGCTGCAAACCTCTCTGAGGCCTACATGCTTATATGGACTCATGATCTTGCATATTGCCCTAAACACAGAAATGACAGTCAAAATTTCTCCCATAGGCTGGCCTCAGTGATGAGACAATTATCATGTCTGTGAGCTGGATCCAGAAATGAATCACCATGCCACATGTTGACAGATTCACTTATGAAAGTCATAATTTCAACTTTGGGCTGTATTCATTTATCAGGACCTCAGCATTGGGCTTTGTAAATGTAGGATGGTAACAAATTTTACACTCACCTGAGTGTGTAGTTGAGAGTCACAATCTTCACTTTTTGCTGGGCCCTGTTAAGAAACTCTCTGTACAGCCCAAGAGTTCTTGTGATATCAGTTAGTGTAGTAAAACTCTGTTAGATTTGTATGAATATGCAATGAAGGACCATCCATATTGACCTAAGCCTGGTGGTTAGAGTCAAAATATCTCCTACTGGCTGAATCCAAATATAAGCTTAAACATCATCACTTTGAACTGAAGCAATTTGTGGGCAAAAAACTAGGCAGAAGGTTAACATCACTTAGGGGCTAGGCCAAGCAATATGTCACAATGCCTTTTCTAGGCAGGGCCTGGGAAAGAGGTGAAATTAACTGGGGGCTGGAGCCAGCAATGTGATACAACCACACAGGGAAGAAACACAATAAAGTGATGACAGCCAAAACACTTCTAGTATGGAAAAAAGATATGTCAAAGTAACATATGTGGTCCTGCAAAAGAGTCACATCATTAGCGTGCTGGGCCAATCAATATGTTCCAATTCCCTCTTTATTCGTGACCTAGGGAGAAAAGTAACATCATCCAGGTACTGGGCCCCAAAATTCAGCAAAAATCCTGTTCATAGGCATTGTTCAGCAAGAAGGCGGGAGTCACTTTACGTAAGTCCTGGGCTCATCAATATGTCACACTCTTCCCATTGTAAAGGCCCAGACAGAATAAGAGAGTCACATCATGTTAGCCGTGGGCTCAGAGATATGGTTCAATGTCACCGGTCAGAAGGGCTCAGGCAGAAAAAGAGTCTTATCACCAATATGCTCTTTACATATATGTCACAATTTAATATGTGGGCAGAAACCAGGCTGAGGGGCCGCATCACCTGATCCTCAGTCCTGAGATATTCACAAGTCCCCTTAGAAAAAACCCCAGACAAGAGACTTACATAACCTAGGTGCAGGTTCCACTCTTTTTGTCACAAAAATCCATGTGAGAAGGGCCAATCAGGAAGTCACCTCACCTAGGTAATAGGTTCAGAGATATGTCACAAAGCTTTCCTTAAAATATAGCCCTGGCAAAAAGAAGTTGCATCACCACTGTGCCTAGCCTGGCAATATGTCACAACTCAAGCGGGCAAGTCTCAAGAAGAACAAAATTATCTATATGATACACCCTGTGATGTGCCAAAATGCCCTCTTTTGGGTGTGACCCTGGCAAAAGAGTATCAACAACTGTGTGTCTGGCCTTGGTATATGTCACTATTCTGCCCTGTGTGCAGGGCCCATTCTAGAGAGGAGAGTTTCTAAGTAATGGACACAGTGAAATGTCACTATGATATCTGTGGATATGGCCCAGGCAAGAATGTAACATCACCTGTGTGCTGGATCCATTGATGTCACCATTATTACCGAGAGGAGGGCCCAGGTAGAAGAGTCACATCACTTCAAGGTTGGCCCATGTACTTATCAAAATCCCATAAGTAGGATCAAACCAATCTGAAGAGTGAAATCACACAGGTGCTTGACAAAGATTTATATCACAGTCAAAATGGAAGAAAATTATTGGGACTAGATCTACAATACAACACATATCGTGGTTTCATGTAGAACAGTTACCTTCATCCATGTGATAGTGAAACTCCTTACTGTCAGGTGGGTGTGCATGTCAGACTCACAATTTCCTCTGTGTGCTAGGCCCTACTATGACACTCTCTATACAACACAAGTTTGTTATAAAATATATGTGAGCATTGTAATCTTCTGTGACCTTTTTATCAGAAGGAGATCCTGGATGGCACTCATGTTTCTAAACACAGCTATGAGTCAAAATTTCTCCTATTAGCTGGGTCCTCATATGAGAGTCATTTTCATGCCTGTTAGCTGTGCCTAGGTATATGTCATTATGTCACCATCCCCTCTGAAGTTATTAAACAGGTAGGATAGCCACATCACCTTAATATTTTCTTTGTAGGCAGGGACCTAACACAAAATCAGAACACTTGGGTGCTAGGCCCAACTGTATGGCATAATGCCTCTTATGGAGAGTGTCCATGCAGGAGAGAAGAATCATATTACCTCAATGATGGGCCCAGAAATATGTCACATGACTCATGTTGAAAGGGCCCAGGCAAGAGATTCATGTCTTTTGGATACAGTGCTTAAAATGCTACACTTCTCATTGGAAGTAGGGTTCAGGCAGTAGAGGAGACACATAACCTAGACAGTGCGTCTAGAGATATGTTATAATATTTTCTGCAAAAACTGTTAACACAGGAGAGTCAAATTAACGAGGTTCTTGGCACAGGTCTATGTCAAAATGTCATCTGTGGGCTATAACTAGGCAGGATTATTAAATCACGCAGGAGCTGGGCAAAGGTACATGTTACAATAACACCTGTGGAAAGGTTCAGTGATGAGAGTCACCATCCTGCACATGTCCTGGATCCAGGTACAAGAGTCATTATTAGGCCTTTGTTGTGGTCTCAGGTATATGGCTCAATATCACCTGTGGGCAGGGAGAAGAAAGGAAAGTCACATCGCTTGAATGGGTGTTGGTCTAGTGAAATGTCACCAGCCTCCTTGTGGGCAGGACCCTGGAAGAAGAGTCACATCATGTGGATTCTGGTAGCAGTGATATATCTGAATCCACACTGTGGGTAGTGCTTAGGAAGGAGAGGAGACGAACTTCACATAGACTATTAGTCTTCATATGTGTAAAATGGCACCTATGTGCAGGACAAAGGCAGGAGAGTGACCTCATCTTGGTGCTGAGTTCAGCAATATGTCACAATGTCTCTGGTGGTCAGAGCCCAGACAAGAGAAAAGAAACATCACCTAGGTGCTGAGCCAAGTGATATGTTACAATGCTTTCTATTGGCAGAACACTCCTCCCCCCAAAAAAAGAGTCACATCATCTGGGTACAGGACGCTGTATTGTCACAATGCGCTATAAGGGCAGAAGCAAGGCAGTAGAAGAAAGTCACATCATTTTACACGATGGACCTAGATAAAAGCCACGATGCTCTTTTTAGGCAGGGTTCAGGCCAAGATTTTACATTAGCTGGTTGTTGGTACCAGTGATATGTAGAAGTGCCCTTTGTTGCATTGACAAAGAAGGTGCTATATAATGCTTAGGTGCTTGGTGCATGTATGTCACAGTTTGAACTGTGCTATGGGCCTAGAAAACAGGGTGAAAACCTTCAGAGGCAGGTCAAAGTCATACTTCTCAATCATACACTTGAAAATGTTCAGAAATAAGTTTGACAGTCCCACAAAAGTCCTGGCTTCAGGCATGTGAATGAACACCTCCTATAAGTTGGGTTCAAGTACTACAGGAGTCACTATCTCAACAATGGGTAAGATCCATATATAAGAGCCCCAATCCCACTTAAAGATTGTGGTCCAGTAGGAGAGTCAAAACACTGCAAGTCTGCTGAATCATAATTCAAAAGCCACCAAGCCACCTGTGGGTCATATTCATGTATGAATGTAACAATTTCAAGCTTCTACTGTGTACGTGTGTGAGATTTAGTACCCTATTCCTAGGCTTTGCTCATGTATGAGAGTGACAATCGTGTCAGCTGTGTGTGGATCCAAGAGCCACAATAGCACCTAGGTGTCGGTGCCTGTTATGACACTATTTGTGTCACTCAGGTTTTATATGATATGCCTGAGTAAGTAGCATACTTCCCTCTGAATTCTTACAGGTAGAACATCTAGAACTTTACCCATGGCCATAAGACTGGCTATGAGAGTTGATATATTTCCCCTGGTGGGGTCTAGGTATGAGACATATTATTGTGCATATGAGCTAAATCCAGGTTTATGTCACAATCTCACTTTTGGATAGAAATATGACAGAAGAGTCACATCATCTGGGTAATGAGCCAGGGAAACATTTTAACCTCCTTTGTAGGCAGGAGCCATGCAGAAGAGTCATAGAGCATGGATAAAGTCTCCAACAATATGTCATCATGCCCACTGTATACAGGGCTGAGAAAAAAGCGGATACTCGGCTGGGCATGTGGCTCATGCCTGTAATCTCAGCACTTTGGGAGGCTAAGTTGATTTGATCACCTGAGTTCAGGAGTTCAAGACCAACCTGACCAAGATGGTGAAACACCGTCTGTACTAAAAATATATAAAAAAATAGCTGGGTGAGGTGGCAAGTGCCTGTAATCCTACCTACTTGGGAGGCAGAGGCAGGAGAATCGCTTGAAACTAGAAGGCGAGGTTGCAAAGAGCTGAGATTGTGCCCTTGCACTGCAGTGTGGGTGATAACAGCAAAACTCCATTTCAAGGGAAAAAAAAATATATATATATAGTGGATATATATATCGTGGATAGTCACACGCTCTGGGTGCTGGGCTCAGCAATATGTTATAATTACCTCTTCCGGCAGAGTGCAGGACAAAAGAGAGTCACATCACCTAGGTTTTCCACTCAGTGGTATGTCACAATTTCATCACTGGACAGGATTCAGGCAGGAGAGGAGAGTCATATTACTTAGATGCTAGATCTAGCGATATGTCACAGTGTCCCCTGTGGGTAGGGCACTGGCAGGAAAGACACATCATCTAGTTAATAGTCCAGAGATATGTGATAATATTCCCTGTTCCCTGAGTTCAAGTAGAAGAGTCACATTGTTATCATTCTGACTCAGTGATATTTCTCAATGCACCCATGGGAAAGAACTGAAATAACATAGTCTCAACACCGGGTTACTAGTTCTAGTGACGTGACACAATCACCTTATCTTTTAGGGTAGCACCTTTAATTGTTAGCTTGGTGTGTATATGTAAGAGTCACAATCTCACATGTGTTCTTCTTCAGCTTATAACACAGTCTAAAACATCTGAAGGCTTTATGCAACATGAATGTGAATTGCAAACCATTCTAAGGCCTATGTGCTCATATTGACCCAAAATCTTACATATTGCCCTAAATTCAGTTATGATAGTTAACATCTCTCTTATAGGCTGGGTTCAGACAGGACACATCTTGTTATGTCTGTGACCTGGTTTCAGAAAATAATCACTATGTGACATGTACCAAGATCCACAGATGAAAGTCACAATTCCATCTTTCTAATTTATTTATTTGCTAGACTAAGACCTTCAACAGTGGGCTTGTTAATGTGAGATAGTGACAACTTTTGCTCCCACCTGCATGTGTAATCAAGAGTCACAACCTTAACCTTGTGCTGGGCCCTGTTATGAAGGTCTGTGTACCAGCAAAGGAGTTTACAGTGTATGAGTTATTATTGTAAACATCTGTGAGCTTTGAACACTATGCAACTCATAACCTTATATATTGCATTAAGCTTACTGATGAGAGACAAAATACCTATGACAGGTGGAATCCCAATTTAAGTTTGATTATCATGCCTGTGAAATGAAGCAACATAAAATTTATAATCCCATTCACAGAAAAATAAACTTGGCAGGAGTGTAGCATAATTTAGCTGCTGTGAATATGTCACAATGCTTTCTCTAGGCAGGGTCTAGTAATGAGGGTTACATTAACTGTGTGCTGGAACCAACAATATGACACAATGCTATATACATATATAAAACAACCCAGACAAATGTTGAGAGCAAAACCCCTAGAGATTTGCCGAAGGTATGTAAAAATACTTTCTGTTGCACTGGCACAGGCAGGAGAGTTATATCATCAGGGTGGGGGGCCCAGCAATATGCCATAATTCTCTCTTTATGCAGGACACAGGTAGAAGAGAAATGTCATCTGTGTACTGGGTCCTGCAATACATCCAACATCCTTTTCATGAGCATGGTTTGGGAAAAAAAAAGAAGAGTCACATTACCCAAGGATTGGGCTTAGCAATATGTCACATCATCCCATTGTAAAGACTCAGGCAGAAGAAAAGAGTCACATCACATAGGACACGGGCCCAGATATATGGCCCAGTGTCCCAAGAAGGCATTGGTCAGGCAGAATAGAAGAGTCATATCATGTAGGTGCTTCCCTAGGTATATGACACAATCTAATATGTGAGTTGAAGCCAGGCAGATGAGTCAAATCAGCTTGATGGTAGGTCTATAGATATGCTGCATGTCTCCTTAAGAAAAGACCCAGGTCAGAGAGCTACAACAAATACTTGCAGGTTCTGACCTTATGTCACAATGCTCCTTGTGGATAGGGCTCCAGCAGGGAGTCACATCACCTAGGTGATAGACCTAGAGACATATCACAGTGTCATCCTTGTGGCATGGTCCTTGTGAAAGAGCTCCATCTCCTGTTTGCCCGGCCTAGCAATATGTCACTATCAAGGTAAGCAGGATCCAAGGTGGACAGCAACATCACCTATGTGATAGGCCCAGAGATTTTTCACAGTGCCCTCTTCAGGACACAGCATTAGCAAAAGAGTACCATCACCTGTGTGTCTGGCCCAGCCATATGTCACTATCTTCCACTGTGTACAAGGCTCATTCTAATGAACAGAGTTATATCACCTAAGTGGTTGAAACAGTGATATGTCACAATTATTCATTTGCATGTTGCTCAGTCAAAAATGTAACATAATCTGGGTGCTGGATCTAGTGATATGTCACGATTCTTACGGAGAGAAAGGCCCAGGCAGGAGAGTCACATCACCTAGAGGCTGGCCCAGGTAGATATCATAATGATATATGTGGGCTGGAACCAGTCTGGGGAGTCAAATCACACAGGTGCTGGGCAAAGATTTATACCACAATCACACTGGCAGAAAATTCCTGAGTTGAGATTTACAATACTACACATGTTCTGTTTTCATGGGTGACAGTTGGCTTTATATATGTGAGAGGGTGACAGTCCTTACTTTCAGCTGGGTGTGCATATGAAACTCATAATTTCACCTTTCTGCTTGGTTCCATTATTACACTCTCTGTACAAACCAAGGGCTTTATAAAATATCTGAGGCTATAATAATCTTCTGTAGCCTCCTTTTCTATCAGAAAGAGATTTAATCACTGATGTTTCTAAAGCAAGTTAGGAAACTCAAAATTACTCCTATTTGTGGGATCTATATATGATGGTCATTATTATTCCTGTGAGCTGTAACTAGTAAATTGTGTGTATCACAATTTACTCTGTGATAACGAAAGAGTTACAACAGCCAAGCCACTTAAATGCTGAGCCAGAAATGCCTATTGTTGTCAGTGTCCAGGCAGAAGAGGAGAGAATATTACCTCAATGATAGGACCAGATATGTTTCAAAATGTCTCCTGTTGAAAGGACTAGGCAAGAGAGTCATATGATTTGAATGGAGTGCTTATAAATGCTACAATCCCCAGTAGTACCAGAGTTCAGGCAGGAGAGGAAAGTCTGGGTAACCTAGATAATGGATGCAGAGACATGTTACATCCTTCCTGAAGGTATTGTTAAGACATGAGAATCTAATCAGCAAGGTGCTCAGCATAGGTGAATGTCTAAATATTATGTGTGGGCTACACCTCAAAAATTGATTAAATCACTGAGAAAGTTGGGTAAAGGTATATGTCACAAAAACACAGGTGGAAAGTTCCAGGAATGGGAATCACCATCATGCATATATCTTGACTCCAGGTTTAAGAGACATGATTAGTCCTCTTATCTTGTCTCAGGCATATGGCACAATATGACCTGTGGGCATACAGAAAGCAGGAACGTCACATCCCCTGGGTGAGTGCTGGTCCAGTGAGATGTCACAATTCTTCTTGTGGGCAAGACCCTGAAAGAAGAGTCACATCACCTGGATGCTGGTTTTAGTGATACATCAAAACTCCCCCTGTGGGCAGGGCATAGGAAGGTGAGGAGACTCACTTCACCTAAGCAATGGGCCTAGATATATATCACAATGGCCGTTATGTGCAGGAGCAAGGTATGAAAGTGACTTCCTCTTGCTTTATTTAGCAATATATCACAATCTCTCCTGTGTTCAGTGTGAGGCAAAAGAGGAGCAACATCACCTAGGTGCTGAGCCAAGTGACATGCTATAAAGCTTCCTATTGTCAGAACCACAAACTCAGAGTAGCATCACCTGGGTGCAGTACTGAGTTATGTGTCACAATGCACCATAAGTGGAGGGCCAAGGCAGAAGAAGGGAGTCACATCACTTACATGATGAACCTAGATACAATCCACAATGCTTTTTATAGACAGGGATTAGGCAAAATTTCACATCACCTAGGTGCTGGTCCAAATGATATATAAAAGTGCTCTTTGTAGGCAGGTCCAGGCAAATTTTCTTAGGTGTATGGTCCACATATCTCACAATTTTATCTGTGGTCATTGCCTAAAAAGGAGAGTAAAGTTATTCAGGAGCTGGGTTAACTTTTATGTCCTAATCACACACTAAGAAATATTCAGAAATACGTTTCAAAGTCCCAAACATGTCCTGGCTTCGTGTATTTCAGTCAACATATCTTGTGAGTTGGGTCAAATCAGAGGAGTCACAATTACAGCAATGGGCAAGATCCACTTATAAGATGTCCAATCACACATGAAGATTGTGTTGCAGTAGGGGAGTCATAGCCTCATAGGTGAAAGTCCTTACTGTCAGCTGAGTGTGATATGAGACTCACAATTTTACCTTTCCTCTAGGTTCTGTTATGCCACTCCATACAAGGCAAGGGCTTTGTAAAGTATCTGAGGCTATTATAATCTTACGAGACCTTTTTACCAGAAAGAGATCAAAGACATTACTCTTGTTTCTAAAGCAAGTTACAAGAATCAAAATTACTCCTATTTGTGGGGTCCACATATGATACTCATTATCAGGTCTGTGAGTTGTGCCTAGGTATATGTCAAAATTTACTCTGTGGTAATGAAAAAGGCCCGACAGCTACATAACCTAAATGCAGAGGCAGGAATTGTTCCAATAGTTTCCTCATAGGCAAGCTCCTGACAGAAAAGCCCTATAACTTTGGAGCTATGCCCAACTGTATGGCACAATGTCCTTTGTGGGCAGTGTCCAGGCTGAAGAGGAGAATCATATAATGTAAATGACAGGCCCCAAGTACGTCACAATGCCTCCTGTTGAAAGGGCGAGGCATGTATGTTTTCTAATTATAGTCATTTTAACTGGAGTGGCTTGGTATCTTATTGTGGCTTTGATTTGCAGTTTTCTATGAATAAATAATGATGAGCATCTTTGCATGAACTTGGTCACTTTTGTCTTCTTTGGAGAAATGTCATTTAAGCTCTCTTGCCTATTATTAAATTTTGTGTTATTTTTGCTGTTAAGTTTGTTGTATATTCTGTATCTTTTCCCTGTGTCATATGTATATTTTGCAAATTATTATTCTATGCTGAAAATTGTCCCTTTACTCTGCTATTTTTGCTATGTAAATATTGTTTAGATTCTGGTGATTTCACTTGTCTGCTTTTGCTTTTGTTGCCTGTGCTTTTGAGGTCCGATTTAAAATATTTTTCCCTCTCCTATTTGGTAAATAATTTCTCCATGTTTTATTCAAATACTTTTATAGGTGTCAGTTTTATATTTAAATCTTTTTTATTTTTATGTAAGTTCTTTTATGGTAACAGGTAGGCACCTAGTTGTTTTCATTTAATCAATTTTCCTTGACACTGTTCATTGAAACTACTGTCTTGCCTTAAATGCATACACTAAACAACTTAAAAATTACTTGGCAATAGGTTTATTAACTGATTATTGTGATCACTGCATACTTTGGTCTATATGTCTGTTTTCCATGCCAATATCATTCTTTCTTGTTATTAGTTTTGTCATATATTTTGAAGTCAGTTAGTCTGATGCTTTCAGCTTTATTTTTTTCACAAAATTTCTTTGGCTATTTGGGAAGTTATTTTGTTCCTTATAAATTTTAGGCCTGCTTTTTCCATTTCTGTGAAAAAAAAAAAGTCATTGGTGTTTTTGTAGGCTTTGCACTGCATCTGTAGATTGCTTTGAGTAGCATAGCCACTTTAATAATATTTTTTATAACTCATGAGCAAAAAAATTGCTAAAATTTTTCATTTTTTTAGTTTCTTCATCAGTGTTGTATAATTTATAGTGTAGAGGGCGGTTTATCTTTTTAATTAAGTTTATGGCTAGCCACCTTTATCTTTTATTTTAGGTGCACTAAAATATTTGGAAAATTTTAACATGCCTTTGTGATTAAAACAACTGAATAAATTAGGTGTAGATAGTATTTACCTCAAAACAATTAAGGTAACATATGAAAAATCAAGACCTGATATCACACTGAACAGAGAAAGAAGAAATCTTTTTATTTAAGATCTAGAACAAGACGATGATGTCTACTTTTACCACTTTTATTGAACAGAGTACTGGAAATCTCAGCCAGATCACTTATGCAAGAGAAAGAAATAAAATACATCCAAATAAAAAAGAGAAAATTTAATTATCTCTGCAGATTACATAATTGTTTATATAGGAAAGTTTAAATACTACACTAAAAAGCTTGAAAACAAAGAAATTTAATAAAGTGGCAGACTACCAAATTAAACTACAATAATTAGTAGTAGCATTTTTACATGCCAAGAATAAGCCATTTGGAAAATAAATTCAAGAAAAAAAATCATTCTCAACAGCTGTAAAATTAAAAGTCTTACTTCATTTTATGTTCATTGTTGTAATGAACCTTACCCCAACATTTTTTATCATTTAGATGTTCAGTGTTCTTCAAGCCATTTGTTAGTCAGACTGTGCCTTTCTCATTCTGAGTGACATAGACAGAAAATAGCCAAGGAAACTTTTAACATTGTGAGTGATAGAGGAGAATGTCAAGGGTCCTGGGCAAAACTCTGCCATCTAAAACAGCTGGAAGCCTGAAAAACTTAAACTGTGGATTTTGGATGAAGCTGGCCATTTTCTGACTCTTTCTCTTTAAGTAATACCCACCTGTGCACTGGGAAAAGAAGGTGGAGCCATGGAAATTCACATTTTTTGAAAGGGGAGAAGCCTGGATTATTCGGTTGCTATGTGGACACCTGGTGTTCACCAATCTGTGTGGTGGGGGCCCGTTAACAGGATAACCTCTCATTTTGCTGACAGTTTTGTTTGTTTGTTTGTTTGTTTCTGTTTCCATTTTGCCCAAAATCTTTTCTCCTCATGCTTCAGTGTGTCCATTATCTTATACCTTCCTGGTCATGTGACAAGTTCATAGTTTTAGCTGAAATAAGGAAAAAGTTCTACAGTTCAGTGTCTACATGTGAGGCTTGAGGAAATGTAAGATGTAAATCAATTTTTTTTTCTCTTTTACTTGTAAGCCTTTTCATCCTTGGACTTCTCCCGAGGGTAGAGGAAACCATGCACCACCCCACCATAACAGCCCAAAGTACATGCGAGATGACAGGTGAATGTCGGCTTTTAACCCCCATCTCTTCTGGGATGTAAAGTGCCAGAAATTTACGATGTCTTCCCCTTCAATGCCCAAGAGATCCAGCCTCATCCAACAGCAATTAAGTTTTTCACTGGGTTGAAGGAACCCTATTACATAAGAATAAAAATTTTCTTCCCTGCCCTACATTTTAGACTTTTTTTTTCACCCTGTCAGCAGTTTATTTTTAAGAAAAAGGCCTTTTTTCTTCTTAGAAGAGGTTTTGCTGGGCTAGGACCCCAGTGATCACTGCTTATATTCTTTGTAGAGTATTAATTTGAAAGGGTATTTGTGATATTGGTCTTGAGCTGCGGCCAATCTGGTGTGCTTTGTATGTCATTCTCTATGTTTGCTATGAAATTTTACTGTAGGCCTCCATCTTGTTGTATGTTTTTAGGACTGTGACCTGTAATCACATGGTGATGTTTCGTTTTGGACTCTGCCATTTTACAATGGTGGCTCAGGTTTAATCTTGGCTTAGGAAGTGAGTGCCTTCTGGTTTCATATCAGCATGTGACTTTTGCCATTTTCAGATTCTCTTTTCCTTCACAAATTGCCTTATATTGTTTTTTTCTGACCACCTGGTAAATTATCTTTAGTAAAGTTGGAAAGCCAGAAATACTGGCTGCTTGGGGCTGGTAGAGTCAGGTAAAAAAAATAATAAAATAATTTTCTTAAAGTGTGCTCAACTTAATTAAAAGTGGATATCCAAATTATAGGCATATTTAAAAGGCCTGTATGTTTTTCTCTTCTGGGATCTTGTTTTGCTGGTAAAAGGTTTTTTCTCCACCAACTGAATTATTTTTCTTTATTATGTCTTGCCATTGTAGTGCATGCATGTCAGAGCAGTAATTTAATCAGAAAATTGGCAAACAAAAAATCTTATGGCTACTGGGTTTTCTTCTGCCTGTATATGTATATATATATGTGTGTTGTGTCTGTGATGTCTATAAAAAGAGCTCTAATAAATTTAATTGAAAAATAAATACAGCCTTAAAAGTGATCGGTAAAACACAAATGTCATCAATATATGAGTAGGTGGACTAAATTATTCAGGTCAGATACTAGGTTTGCTAAATGTTTCAAAATTATAAACTGCTTTTTTTTGAGAACAGTTTAACCTTGCTTCACAATTGGTAAGGCCTGAGGACAAGTGGAATTAACAACATCCTTAATTATGTTGAAAAAAGTGAAACTCTTGGCTACACCTAGCACTTACTTAATAAAATTTACCTGGTTTTATACTAAAGTTAAAATTGTTAGAAATTACCATTACAATATGTAATTGAAACCACTGGAAGTAGATTTACATATGAGGTGTGTAAGAGCAGTAAAATGTGTTTTTAAGAAAAGACTAAAAGTCATGGAAATATAAATTCTTGCCTAGGGTCAAGCAATTGTTTTGAATTACATAAGATAAAGCAAAAAGTTCAAACAAGTTGTAGAAGTCTTGTAAAAATAAATGTTGACAGAGGAATTCTCTGTGTGAATGTTAATTAAATTCAAAAAGGTATTATATGGGTTTTTTGTAAATTGAGCCTTAAAATAAAAGCACACAAGTTACTTTTAAGGCATGTGTCTATTCTTTAGCAAAATTTGTAAAGAATTTATAAAAGCTTTTTGCTTTTTAAATTTGTAAGTCATCATTTTGGTTAAATAAGTAATTTATGGTAATCTGGAATTTTATTTTATAACATCTAGTGTTTTAAACCCCTAACATGTAACATCCTTCTCAAAATCAAACTTTAGTTACAAAATTGTTTTTCCCACCTTGTGGCTTTTGGATGCTAAAGGGAGCCCCTAGAGTATCCACAAGAGAGGTAAACAGGATTATATGGCATGTTTAGTTACATAGAATTGCCAAAATGGTGTTCAATATTCTGTAGATGATATTTTGATGAATAATACTTATACATGTTCAAAAATTGTATGGGATTTCAAAAATTCTAATGTCTGAAGTATATGCTATCAATCAAAGTGAAGATTGTTTAAGATATTGTAAACCACAGAATAAACTGAAATTTTTTGTCAATCTTATTTCTGACTGTAACTACCCTGGGCAATTTGTTATACACAGACAATTGTTGTCTGTTTTGATTTTTTTTATAAAGTGGTTTTTAATCAGCTACAGATCTTTGACAGGTCCTCTCAATTGCAGGTTTCTAATCACTTTGGAGCTTGTGACATTGGAATATAAGAAAAAAGTACAGCATAATGAAGAGCTAAAATGTTCATGAATATCAAACAAAACAAGAGTTAACTGAAAGGGGTGGACTAATAGAAAACTGAAGTATTTTTTCTGACTTTTGATTGTAACATTACTGCTTCTTCTATTGTTTACCAGAGTCAAGGCAACTTATTTTGAGCTATTTACAGCCTTTAACATTTGAGTAAGGTGTACTCCTGTGAACAAAATATAGAATATGTTTGCCTCTCTCTGCCTGGCTTCTCCAGAATTTGAAAAGTAGTTCTGAGTCTTCTAAACTTATGGCAATATAACTGCTTGCATCAGAGCAATAATAATCCATTTTCTTTTCCAACAGGGCACACCTGCAGAAACTGGTTGTTTTACCAAGGACTTGATTGAAAGGGTTTGCTTCCCTTTAAGGAGTCAAGCTCAACTTGCAGAGCCAATAAAAGCCCCTTGGAAAAACAGGACTCATACCTCATCTATACAGTCATAGTGCAGGTTTATCTGTGGAAAGTAAAGAATGACACTTTCTGACAGCCCCAGGGACTCCAACTTTATCTTGGGACCATAAGAGGAGAGAATCACCCAACTCATAAGTATTTAAGGGTAAAACCCATGGCTGGGCTTCACATTAGAAGGTCTTATCTGAAATTTCTTGTTGAACAGAGTTCCATCAAAGCCAATGTAAAAGACCTATGATGAAATAATTCCATGTAATCCACTGAGAAACATTTTTATCCCAACCTCAATTTCAAGCTTCAGGTCAAAGCTCTAGGAAAGATTACTGGATCTGAGAAAATCAGAGGCTGATGATAATGGAGGTTAAAAAACTGTGCAGGTTGACATGACTAATTGGAGCTGATAATGCCAACCCTCCCATTTCATGGATAAGGATTATGCCAGCATCCTTGTCATAAATGAGGTCGAGTGAACTCCAGAACTACTAACAGCAGGGGAGATAGGGCATATGTAGGTAAGAGCAGATAGTTTCCCTCCCCAGATCTCCCTGTTAACATGGATGAAAACTGCCTTGACACCCAGGAGTGGCAAACTGTAACAATTATGGGACTCAGGGGTACAAGGATTGAAAAGGGAAAGAGAATATTCTTTCTCCTATATCTCAACATACCCTGGGTATTTGCTAGGAAGAGAAAGAAACTAGAGACACCTCCTCCTCTCTCTCTTTCTAGATAAGTAGCCATTCATCTTCATTTTATACTTTTTTCAAATGCATCCTGAACCCTTGGAACTCCTTTGAAAAAATGCTTACTTTTTTTCATTTATTCTCCTGTGTATTCTCTTTACAGATAGGTAATCAGGTCTCAATACTGTGGGACACTCTTCTTGGTGCATCCTTTGAATTTGAAAGAGTTAATTTCCCAAACCTTAGACTGGTTTGCTTAGGATTCAACTCAGGAGAAAAGAACCCAGAACCCAGAAAACTGACATGCTCGAAAAGGGTAAGGGTAAAATTTTTGTTGTTCCATTTGGGCTTTTGATCTCCCTTTCCCTATGCAAACTGGTAAAAGACCTAGGAATTTGTGAGCTGTCCTTGCCCCCATTCCCCTTGTTTCATTTTAATACATTTTTAAAAAATAACCCAGTTTGATTCTTCTCACCTTCAGGCTATGAAACTCCAAACAGTCATGCAGCAATAGGCTTGGACAATGGCACTTTTAACTGGGGACACTTAGGCCTCTTAGGGAGTTCTGACTGCCATTTTTTTTTTAAACCAAAGCCCCCAGTCAGCAGGAAGCACTTAAAAGTGGTTTTTGTCTTCATGCTTATCGTTATTCCAACCACAGTAAGATGTACTTATTTAGTGGGGAAATAACAGAGTTAGGGAACAGCCAAGGGTCTTGGGTGAAACCCCGCCTTCAAGCCTAAAACAGCCTGCAGGCTGAAAACTGAGACTGCTGGTCTCAGAAAAAGCCTGCCTTTTTCAAACTGATTCTCTCTGAATAATGTCCACCTGCATACTGGGGGAAGAGAGTGGAGCCACGGAAAGCTCAGGCCTTGTACATAGAGGAGGATCTGGGACTCTTCACTTCCTGTGTGATGGTCTGGTGTTCAGCAATCTGGGAGGAGAGGCCCTGTAAACAGAACTCCCACTCACTTTTTTGAGAGTTGTTTTTTTTTTCTTCCTTTATTTTACTCAATCAACTCTACTCCTCATCCTTCAGAGTGTCCCTGACCTAATGTTTCCTAGTCATGTGACAAGAACCCAATTTTACTGAAGTAAGGAGAAAGTTTTGCAATGTGAGGATTTGGAACCCCCGTTTAAGATAAGTTGACTGTATCTGGCTTCCCTTACTGTTTCAGAATTTATTTTTCTATCTATGCCAGCATCACTCTTTTGATTATTATAACTTTGCAAAATGTTTTGAAATAAAAAGGAATTATGCCTCTGAGTTTATTCTTATTTCCAGGCTGTTTGACTACTTGTGGTTTTCTGAGTGTTTATAGAAACTACAGGGCAATATTTATTGTCTCACTATGTGATCCCAGAACTGTGGAAAGCCAAAGTAGGTGGATTGCTGTAGCCCAGGAGTTTGAGACCAGCCTGGGAAATATGGTGAAACACTGTCTCTACAAAAAACATAAAAACTTGCTGAGCATGATGGCATGCACCTGCAGTCCCAGCTACTTGTGAGGCTGAGGTGGGAGGATCAATTGAACTTGAGAGTTCAAGGCTCAGTGAGCCATGATTATGACATGGCACTCCAGGCTGGATGACACAGCAAAATATTGATTCAAACATTTTAGAGCATTTTAGTACTTCTCCAGAAAGAACCACTGTTATTTTTTAAAAAGAGATCTCATTGATTTGTAGATCATTTTGAATACCTTTAACATCTAAAGAAACTTGCATGTTTTAACTCTTGAAAAATACTATGCTCAAGAATTGGTCTAGTTTTCATATATATGCAGATGTGCTGTTTTCTTTTTGTTTTTAACTTCCCATTATATTACTGTGGACAGAAATAATACCTTTCGTGATTGCCGTCTGTTTAAATATGCTGAAATGTGCATCTAGCATAGAAGTTTGCCTATCTGACAAAACATGTTGTACGTAATTATAAATATAATGTTTTATGCTGTTGTTGGGTGAAATGTTTTGTAGATTATGCCCACAGCTTATTTCTTTATCCTTTTATTTCTCTGTATATTTGTCTTTATCTCCATTTTGTTTATTTTATTTATTTACTTTGTTTTTATTAATAATTTAATTTCACTTCTATTTTTTATTTTATTTTTCTTATTATAGTCCCTTCATTTCAAATTTTCTCCAATTTGTATCTTGTTTGTAATATTTTATTTATTGTTTTGTTTTTATTAATTTATTTTCATTCATGTCCCTTCATATTATTTTATTTCCTTTTTTAATTTTATTTTTAGTTTTCTCCTCATTCTTGCATTTTTCTTGTTTTATTATGTTGCTAATTATTTCTGTTTATTTCTCTTAATTTATTTTATTTATTATCTTCATCTTTTTATTTATTTTTCCTGATCTTAATTACATTTTTTTCCTTATTTTCTCTATTTTATTTTAGTTTATTTACCATTACTATGTTTTACTTCAAATTTATTTTTAATTTTTATTTTATTTTTCTTTATTTCATTTTTTTAACTTTATTTTTTGTTTTACAAAACAGAAGAGATGAGCTATTTTAAACTGACCCAGCCAGCGTGGTCAAGACTCAAGTTTGCTGAGACTCTATGGTAGCCACTCTACCCCAGGAGTCTCCAGTCTAGGGTATAGTCAGTGACTCCTGGCAGGATTGCTAAAACACCTGCGCAGATCTTTTATTGTTACAGGCCTATCTAGTATTCAGAGTCACAGGCCATTTCTGCTACTTTCAGAAGCCCCATGCAAGCCTCAGTGTAGCTGGGCTGAGGCCATGACTATGTCTTTATTTGTGTCCCAGTGAATCCTCCCCACATAATCCAGGGTGCTGACTCTTCTTCCTTTTTTCCTGAACAGGCTCCACAACCACTCAACTCCACCCATGCATGTCTTGACCATATGTGTGTCTTTTTCTTGTTGAAAAAGGACAAAAATTGTTTTCTTTTGTTTTGAGACAGAATCTTGCTATATTGCCCAGGCTTCAGTGCAGTGGTGTGATCTCAGCATACACAGCTATTTCTTTCTTTCTTTTTTTTTTTTGTATTTTTAGTAGAGATGATGTTTCACCATATTCACTTCACTGGTTTCAATCCACAGACCACAAGTGATTCACCCCCCTCAGCACCCCAAAATGTTACAATTACAGGTGTAAGCCACTGAGTTTAGCTGATACTTTATTTTATTTTATTTTAACTTGACATTTAACTGAATTATGAAAATATCAGCTTTATGGGTAGATATACATGCAAATAGGTACAAAAATGCTAATGATGTGAGAAGTTTAACATTTCTTCACTTTCTTTAATGATTTTATGGAGTTACTATTTTACATTCTCCTGTCTTTATCTCTATGTTCAGTTAGAAAATCCTCAGTGAATACTTTTCAGTATGATAGACAAAATGTTGTGCAATCGATCATTGATAGATGCACACTGAAGTAATTTCTGGTTTTCATTTGGAGCTTTTACACCTAGGAATGAAAACTGTTGCTTGTAAACTCACATAATATGGAGTTATACTATGCTGTCCTCTTCTGCACATTTGTCTACCATCACAGTTTGAATGTGCCACTGAAAAAAGGTGGGAAATTGTTTCCCTCAGACCTACTCATCTTCCTTTTATAGGTTTTCAGGTGGTGCATTGTCCAGATTGCTTAGAAGCTCATGATCACAGAGGTCATATTTGACAAGAGAAAGCACTGTTGCACCAGGACTAAGTGAAGGTGATTACCACCCCATGCCTAAGGCTTCTCCAGAGCCAGGATGGAGCTTAAAAACCATTACTGAAGCCAGAAAGTGATGACAGAAGTTGAGGGCTGCCCACAGGAGAAAGCAAAATCCTCCCTTTTGCTTTCCAAGTGTTCACTGTTTATTTGGTCATTAATGTTCCTTCTGACCATGATGTGTTTCTTGTTCATCTTTCCTGGTATTCCACTGAAAGTGCGTCTAAGGAAATGAGCCCTGGATGATAGTGATAAAGAGAACAACTGCATCCTTCTATAGATGATGCCTTGGTGAGCTTTGAAGCACATTGAGCAGATCCTGAAATCCTTCCTTAGTATGGGACAAGTTTTGTCAAATTCAACTTCCATGTAAATGGTACTAGGTTCAAGATGTCAAAGAAGAGACTCAGAGTTAATAAATGGGATATGGAGTTTTGCTGGGGACTTTCACAAGGGGAGAAAGTCCAGTGTCAGTGGGCTTAGCAGGACAACCCTGTGCAATTGCAAAAAGCATGCAGTGTGCATAAAATTTTTATTAAGCACATTTTTCTGAACAATCTTTTACTTGTTATCCTTCATTTAACAAAAATTAAGGGCCTCAATCCCCTGTGTGGCCTGTGTTCCATGCAACAGCATGGGAAGACCAAGGGCTTAGTTGCTCCTCATAGATAAAGAGTAATCTCCAGGTTGGTCACTACTAGATTTTTTTGTTGTTGTTGATATTGTTTTTTTTAACTTTATTTTATTTTATTTTTTATTATACTTTAAGTTTTAGGGTACATGTGCAAAATGTGCAGGTTAGTTACATATGTATACATGTGCAATATTGGTGTGCTGCACCTAGTAACTCATCATTTAACATTAGGTATATCTCCAAATGCTATCCTCCCCCGGCCCCTCAACCCACAACAGGCCCTGGTGTGTGATGTTTCCCTTCCTGTGTTCACGTGTTCACATTGTTCAATTCCCACCTATGAATGAGAACATGCGGTGTTTGGTTTTTGTCCTTGCGATAGTTTGCTGAGAATGAGGGTTTGCAGCTTCATCTATGTCCCTACAAAGGACACGAACTCATCATTTTTTATGGCTGCATAGTATTCCATGGTGTACATGTGCCACATTTTCTTAATCCAGTCTATCAGTGTTGGACATTTGGGTTGGTTCCAAGTCTTTGCTATGGTGAATAGTGCCACAATAAACATATGTGTTCATGTGTCTTTATAGCAGCATGATTTATAATCCTTTGGGTATATACCCAGTAATGGGATGGCTGGGTCAAATGATATTTCTAGTTCTAGATCCCTGAGGAATGGCCACTTCGACTTCCACAATGTTTGAACTAGTTTACAGTCCCACCAACAGTGTAAAAGTGTTCCTATTTCTCCACATCCTCTCCAGCACCTGTTGTTTCCTGACTTTTTAATGATCACCATTCTAACCGGTGTGAGACGATATCTCATTGTGGTTTTGACTTGCATTTCTCTGATGGCCAGTGATGATGAGCATTTTTTCATGTGTCTTTTGGTTGCATAAATGTCTTCTTTTGAGAAGTGTCTGTTCATATCCTTCACCCACTTTTTGATGGGGTTGTTTGTTTTTTTCTTGTAAATTCATTTATGTTCATTGTAGCATCTGGATATTAGCCCTTTGTCAGATGAGTAGATTGCAAAAATTTTCTCCCATTCCGTAGGTTGCCTGTTCACTCTGATGGTAGTTTCTTTTGCTGTGCAGAAGCTCTTCAGTTTAATTAGATCCCATTTGTCAGTTTTGGCTTTTGTTGCCATTGCTTTTGGTGTTTTAGACATGAAGTCCTTGCCCATACCTATGTCCCGAATGGTATTACCTAGGTTTTCTTCTAGGGTTTTCATGATTTGAGGTCTAACATGTAAGTCCTTAATCCATCTTGAATTAATTTTTGTATAAGGTTTAAGGAAGGGATCCAATTTCAGCTTTCTATGTATGGCTAGCCAGTTTTCCCAGTAACATTTATTAAATAGGGAATCATTTCTACATTTCTTGTTTTTGTCAGGTTTGTCAAAGATCAGATGGTTTTAGATATGTGGCATTATTTCTGAGGGCTCTGTTCTGTTTCATTGGTCTATATATCTGTTTTGGTACCAGTACCATGCTGTTTTGGTTACTGTAGCCTTGTAGTATAGTTTGAAGTAAGGTAGCGTGATGCCTCCAGCTTTGTTCTTATGGCTTAGGATTGACTTGGCAATGCGGGCTCTTTTTTGGTTTCATATGAACTTTAAAGAAGTTTTTTCCAATTCTGTGAAGAAAATCATTGGTAGCTTCATGGGGATGGCATTGAATCTGTAAATTACCTTGGGCAGTATGGCCATTTTCACGATATTGATTCTTCCTACCCATGAGCATGGAATGTTCTTCCATTTGTTTGTATCCTCTTTTATTTCATTAAGCAGTGGTTTGTAATTCTCCTTGAAGAGTTCCTTCACATCCCTTGTAGGTTGGATTCCTAGGAATTTTGTTCTCTTTGAAGCAATTGTGAATGGGAGGGAATCCACTCATGATTTGGCTCTCTGTTTGCCTGTTATTGGTGTATAAGAATGCCTGTAATTTTTGCACATTGATTTTGTATCCTAAGACTTTGCTGAATTTGCCTATCAGCTTAAGGAGATTTTGGGCTGAGACGATGGGGTTTTCTAGATATACCATCATGTCCTCTGCAAACAGGGACAATTTTACTTCCTCTTTTCCTAGTTGAATACCCTTTATTTCCTTCTCCTGCCTAATTGCCCTGGCCAGAACTTCCAACACAATGTTGAATAGGAGTGGTGAGAGAGGGCATCCCTGTCTTGTGCCAGTTTTCAAAGGGAATGCTTCCAGTTTTTTGCCCATTCAGTATGATATTGGCTGTGGGTTTGTCATAGATAGCTCTTATTATTTTGAGATATGTCCCATCAATACCTAATTTATTGAGAGTTTTTAGCATGAGAGTTGTTGAATTTTGTCAAAGGCCTTTCTGCATCTATTGAGATAATCGTGGTTTTTGTCGTTGGTTCGGTTTATATGATGAATTATGTTCATTGATTTGTATATGTTCAACCAGCTTTGCATCCCAGGGAT
Source organism: Homo sapiens (assembly GCF_000001405.40). Lineage (NCBI taxonomy): Eukaryota > Metazoa > Chordata > Mammalia > Primates > Hominidae > Homo > Homo sapiens. Next base: position 8,410,315 of record NC_000024.10, read on the forward strand.
GAAGCCTGCTTGATCATGGTGGATAAGCTTTTTGATTTGCTGCTGGATTCAGTTTGCCAGTATTTTATTAAGGATTTTTGCATCAATGTTCATCAGGGATATTGGTCTAAAATTCTCTTTTTTTGTTGTGTCTTTGCCAGGCTTTGGTATCAGGATAATGCTGGCCTCATAAAATGAGTTAGGGAGGATTCCCTCTTTTTCTATTGATTGGAATAGTTTCAGACGGAATGGTACCAACTCCTCCTTGTACCTTGGTAGAATTTGCCTGTGCATCCAACTGGTCCTGGACTTTTTTTGTTGGAAAGCTATTAATTATTGCCTCAATTTCAGAGCCTGTTATTGGTCTATTCAGAGACTCAACTTCTTCCTGGTTTAGTCTTGGGAGGATGTGTGTGTCGAGGAATTTATCCATTTCTTCTAGATTTTCTAGTTTATTTGTGTAGAGGTGTTTATAGTATTCTCTGATGGTAGTTTGTATTTCTGTGGGATCGGTGGTGATAACCCCTTTAGCATTTTTTATTGCATCTATTTGATTCTTCTCTCTTTTCTTCTTTATTAGTCTTGCTAACAGTCTATCAATTTTGTTGATCTTTTACAAAAACCAGCTCCTGGATTCATTGATTTTTTGATTTTTCTGTGTCTATATTTCCTTCAGTTCTGCTCTGATCTTAGTTATTTCTTGCCTTCTGCTAGCTTTTGAATTTGCTCTTGTTTATCTAGTTCTTTTAATTGTGATGTTAGGGTGTCAATTTTAGATCTTTCCTGATTTCTCTTGTGGGCACTTAGTGCTATAAATTTCCCTCTACATACTGCTTTGAATGTGTCCCAGAGATTCTGGTATGTTGTGTCTTTGTTCTCTTTGGTTTCAAAGTACATCTTTATTTCTGCCTGCATTTCATTATGTAGCCAGTAGTCACTCAGGAGCAGGTTGTTCACTTTCCATGTAGTTGAGTGGTTTTGAGTGAATTTCTTAATCCAGAGTTCTAGTTTGATTGCACTGTGGTCTGAGAGACAATTTGTTATAATTTCTGTTCTTTTACATTTGCTGAGGAGAGCTTTACTTCCAACTCTGTGTTCAGTTTTGGAATAAGTGCAGTGTGGTGCTGAGAAGAATGTATATTCTGTTGATTTTGGGTGGAGAGTTCTGTAGATGTGTATTAGGTCCACTTAGTGCAGATCTGAGTTCAATTCCTGGATATCCTTGTTAACTTTCTGTCTTGTTGATCTGTCTCATGTTGACATTGGGGTGGTAAAATCTCCCGTTATTATTGTGTGGGGGTCTAAGTCTCTTTATAGGTCTCTAAGGACTTGCTTTATGAATCTGTGTGTTCCTGTATTGGCGCATATATGTTTAGGATAGTTAGCTTTTCTTGTTGAATTGATCCCTTTTCCATTATGTAATGGCCTTCTTTGTCTCTTTTGATCTTTGTTGGTTTAAAGTCTGTTATACCGGAGACTAGGATTGCAACCCTAGAATGTTTTTTTTGAAATGATGTTTCACTCTTGTCCCTCAAGCTGGAGTGTGTTGGCACAATCTCAGCTCACCAAAACCTGTGCCTCCCAGGTTCAAGTGATTATCCTGCCTCAGCTTTCTGAGTATCTGGGATTACAAGCATTTGCCACCACACCTGCCTAACTTTATATTTTAGTAGAGATGAGGATTCTCCATGTTGATGAGGCTGGTCTCGAACTCCTGACCTCAGGTGATATGCCTGATTCAGCCTCCCAAAATGTTGGGAGTACAGGCGTGACCCACCATCCCTGGCCAGTCAATTAATATATTTTTTAGCTTGAACCTCTGAACACTCAGAAGCATTTTTTATATAGGATCAGTCTTGAGGTATGCGCTAATCAAGTTACTACTCTCAATTGCATCCATCATACAGGCTGGTTCAGGCAGTGGAGGTTCTTCTTCCTGAACTTCTAGATTCCTTTTTTTTTTTCTTTTTCTTGAATGTTGGATTGACCAGTGTTTATCTGAAAAGGCTGTTATGTGCACACATTGCTGGTACAGTTTTCTAAGTTAAAGAGATGGCTTCTTAGTTGGTAGGGTTTGTTCCTGTTACAGTTATGTTCACGTGGCTAAGGTTTCCATTCTCAAGATTTTCATTGGACATTCTGAGGCCCCAGTTCAACTATTTTCCAAGGTTAGATGTGCTGAACCAGAACCTGAAATTGTGGTTCATGGTGGCCAGGCTGAGGCTGTCGTTTACAAGGAAGAACTGTCAGGTTTGCATCTTATTTTCCTTGTAATTTTAACATATCTTTTGGAATGGAGACCCAAAAAGAATCTGAATATGTGACAGCCTCCTCCTAGATCTGGTACTATTTATACATGACTCTTAAATATCAGGGTAGTTGAGAGATCTCTATTCTATTATTTGTATGAATTATTTTGTATCTTATTCTCCGTCTTAAGAAAATTTTAGCTATGTATGCAATTCAAAATTGACATATTTTTTAAATAGCCAACTTAAAAACATTTCATTGAACATGTTGGGTAATATAATTCTAAAATATTTTATTTTAGAAACCAAAACACTTGAAGGTTGATAGTCACAGTATCTATGAAAGTGACATTATGAACATGCTTTTATAGTTTCCAGAAAGAAGAAAAAATCTATTTAGTCTTCAGTAGTAAAACGTAAAGATTATAGAAATGTGATTAAATTTACTGATTAAAATATTCACAAAAACTGAGACAGATTCATTTACTTGTTCTTTATTGTTTACTCTCCAATAATGAACAGATTATAAGACATTCAGAATTTACTTCATTATAGAAATAAAGCCACACAGCTATTTTGAAAGAATCATTAAAAATAAACAGAACAAACCTATCATTTATATTATTTAAAAAATCACCCAATTCATAGTCCAAAAAAAAAATCTTACTAGGTATTACTACTGGCAGAAACCAGGTTTTCTTAGGACCTGGTCCAGTGAAACCACTCTTCATATGTCACCCAATTGATCCTGCCAGTTTCTAGGAAGAGCTACAATTCTAAGAGCCCAGGACAGCTGGGCAGAAATAAAATATCCTTTGGTTATAACAAATGTTTGGTACTATTATTCCATATCACACAGTTTTTCTGTCCTCAGAGAAAAAATTGAGGATGTGTTGTGTCAGGATCTAGAATCAAGGCTTGGCATGGTGGCTTATGCCTGTAATCCCAGCAATTTGGGAGGCCGAGATGGGTGGACCAGGAGATCAGGAGATCGACCATCCTGGCTAACACAGTGAAATCTCATTTCTGTTAAAAACACACAAAAATTAACCAGGCGTAGTGATGGGCGCATGTAGTCTCATCTACTTAGGAGGCTGATGCAAGAGAATCACTTTAACCTGGGAGGTGGAGGTTGCAGTACGCTGAGATCACACCACTGCACTCCAGCCTGGGCAACAGAGCAAGACTCCATTTCCAAAAAAAAAAAAAAATGGAAAGAAAAGAAAAGAAAAATCTAGAATCAAATCAAATATAAAAAAATGGCTTGGTAATTCTGTCTAAGCCAGAATATAGAGGTGGGAGATTAAAATCATATTTTCTTAATTTAAATAAAAAGAGTTCAGGGAATTTTAGGTTTTGATACCTGGGGTGCATACTATTTACATGGGTTAGCCACTCCATGTTTGACTGGATAGACTTTCCCTCTACCTCCCTCAGTAGATGCTTAAATGTAGAAACATAATCTAAAAATTTTACAAGGTTTTCACTTAGTTTTCCTAAAACGTCCAACTCCACAATTTGTTTCAATTGTGAGAGTCAACTGTGCAGCGTAGGTACAATAACGATCTCCTGATATGCAGATTTAATGTTATTTCTTTACCATAGATATTTTCATTTTTCACCCGAGACCACAGGTTAATTTCAAACAGAATATTTATTTCTAATTATGAGGCTTCTATTACATTGCTAGTATTATCTTGTTTACTTCATGTCTATGCCAAAAATAACTCATGACTTATTAAATGTTCAACTATTAACTTAAATAAATTGTCCCAATAAATTTAATAAACTCAATTATATCAATTTCATAATGTAAAATTAACAGTAACTAAATGAAAACTGGATTAAATATCATTTTCTAATTGAAATAATTGAAATGTACTGAATAAATGGTATACAATAATACATGCATTGTGAAATTACATGTGAAAATTATTTTGTGAACATCATTAAATTTTATCAAAGATACATTCATCAACTCTGAGAAAATTATACAAGTAATGCTTAATGAAATTAGGCTATAAGAAATTTATATATTATGTCTGTAGTGAGCAACAGGCAAGCAGACCAAACAAAAAAAAAGGAGAATTTGCACAAGATGTTTCTAAGAGAGGAGCAATAATATTTTACATAAATGAGTTTAATACAAAGCAGAGATGATAGATTTGCTTTCAAAATTTTTGAAGTTTCTGGTTTGCTGGTAAGTTACCAAGACTTGTAAAATTATCTGTTTTATTCTAATATTTTTCTTTTCTACTCAGAGTAGGTACATAATCGTAAACCAATACGATTATTCTCTATAAAGCTGTTACACTTAATGTTTATTTTACAGTGATTTATTTGTGTATTTACGTCCATTTAAATAAAAACTAAAGGTCTGCGTATGTTTAGCAGACTAGAGACATCATCTGTTAAAGAAAAATAGGATACATTTTGTAAAGAGTTTTTCAGAATTCAAAAATAAAATGCAAAGCTCCATCGTACTCATAATCTTCATAACAACCATCATAATTATCTGTAGTTACAAGAAAAACAGAAATATAAATTGTAGGAACCATATTATCCAAATTATTTTAAGTTAAGACCACTGACAAAGAATCTGGAGAGATGTTATTTCATTGTCATTCAATAGTATACAGTTATCATCTGTTACCTACAACCATGCATAAGATGGGATAACCTAACATCAGTGGCAAGATAAAACTTCAATGTAAAACAGCCTTACCACAGTAACAAATATGTTCATCAATTGAAACAAAAACAAACTAAATTTATACATTGCCATTAAAAAGGCATTTTGAAATTCACTGTATTTTAATTCTTACTTTGCAAATGGTAATGCAATTTTTTTCTAAACTTCAAGTTGTTTCTCTTACTATGCAGAATATTATCCTGATTACTTTTCACACTCCTATTACCCTGTCACTTATGATATTACTGTAAACCAACTACTAAGTAGCCTTTCTACTTAGAATTTCTTTATGTATCTTATATTTAAGTTTACTTAAACTTCCATATGAAAGTATATAAATCTGTCCATCTAATATAGAGAACCTTTCTTAAATCTAGTGCAGCAACCATTGACCATGTTCTTTCACATAAATTCTAGAAAAGAAGACATAGCTTCAAATGTAAGAGTTAAATGACATCAATATTTGCTTTCAAAAAATATATGAAACTTTTGTTTGTTTGTTTGTTTTGAGAGAGTTTCACCTTGTTGCCATACTGGGGTGCAGTGTGTGATCTTGGCTCACTGCAACCTCCACCTCCTGGGTTCAAGGGAGCCTCCCGCCTCAGACTCCTGAGTAACTGGGACTACAAGTTCATGCCACTGTGCCCAGTGAATTTTTTTCTATTTTTTGTAGAGATGGGGTTTCACCATGTTGGCCAGAATATTCTCGATTTCTTGACCTCGTGATCTGCCCGCCTTGCCTTCCTGGGATTACATGCATGAGCCTCCATGTCCAGCAAAAATTGTTTTAATATATAAAAGTAGGTTTCTTTTACAGGAAAGGGATCAAGAATGCAGACTAGGATCAGCTAAACTATGTGGTTCTCACAGAGAAAAATGCAAGGTGTGCATAAATACAGAACCATCAAATGAAATATCCAGGTACTTGCACTGGGAATAATCAAAGAAAAACACAACTTAAGGAGAGTAGAGTAAAGCAAGGCCAAACAATGGGCCACACGAAAAACACATGGAGCCAAGGGAACCTCCCCACCCAGTAAAGCAGTGGGTGCATGTGTGACTCTGGGAACCAATGATTCTCCCACAGTTCTTTCCAATCCTCAAGTGAGGAGACTCCCTAAAGAACCTACTTTACCAAGGCCTTCAGTTTAACACATAGACCTATATGGAGTCTCAGCAGAGCAGCTGCACAGGCCTGTGTAGTGATTCAAGAGGCTTAGATACTCTAGCATTCCAGAATTCTCAGAAAAGGTAGCTGCAACTCCAGCAAAGCAGGATGTTTCACCCCTGTACATACCCACAGGAAACAGGCAGAATCCAGGGACCTCAGCAATGATGGTCTGTAGGACCCACTTCCACAGTGCCTCATAGATTAAGACCTACTGGCTTAGAATTCTAGCCAACCATTGGTAGCAACACTGCACCTCTCTGATTTGGAGCTACCACAAAGAGGAGTGGACCTCCATCTTTGCTGTTTCAACAACATAGCCATCCCAGCCTTCAGGCTTTGAAGAGCCCAAGTTGACTGGGGCAGAAAGGATCTCCTAGCACAGTGCAGGTGCTCTAAGAAGTCATGGCCAGACTGCCTATTAAAGCAGGACCCAAATCTCTTCCTCCTCACTGAAAAGAACTTCCCAAGCAGGGTGTCCAGCTACCAACACCGATGCTATTTAATCAATGACATTTTGAATCCTCTTTGGAATAAAGTTCCCAGAGTGAAGAGTGAGCTGCCATATTTGCTGTTTGTGTGACTTAGTGGTTCCAGCGTTCTAGCTTAGGAGAATCCAAATAAAATGGGGATGAAAGTGGTACCTCTGCACAGCAGAGCTCTCCTACAAAAATGTGGCTATACTGCTATCTTCAGTGAGTCCTGAATTCTCCTTCCTGGAAAAGTCCTTTCAATAGGGTGTTCCAGCTACCTCTTTCAGGTGTTTTGGGCTGCAAACATGTCTATACTTGCCTGGGATGGAGCTTCCAGAGAAGAGGGCATATTGCCTTCATTGCTGTTTTGCAGCATTCAGTGGGATAACTTCAGGCACTGGAAAACCTGAAGTGACTGGAAACTGCAGTGGACAGACAGAATACTGCAGCAGCCCTTCAGAAAAGTGGCCAGACTGTTGCATGAGTGCCTGCTCTCACATATTCTCACTGGGCAGGTTCTCCAGGTCTGGGCCTGGTAGGGATATTGAGCCAGTAGCAACTTAGAAACTTCCTGGACAGAGCCTATAGGGGCAACTGAAAATATTTCTGCCACTAATTTTGCAGTAGAACTGTCCTTACTGTGCTTCTTAGACTAATGAAAAATCCAAAACCCAAGTGCCTTATTTACACCCCAAACAAGCTGCATTTTGCCCAAGAAGAGGAGGCCAGTCCATCCCCCATGGGTTCCACATACTATCCATTGCTCCTCGCCCGACAGTAAACTCCTATCTTAGCCCAAATCACAGATCCTCCATCCTGGACTGACTGTAGTGAGGAGCTGCTGACCTACATCTCTCTGAGATGCAGCCCCCAGAAGACAAGCAAGGAAATGGGGTAGCAAGCCACCTCATGTGGTGCCAAGAGTGTTGGTGCAAGAGCAGTTGTAGTAATATATTGCCAGTGATGGCCACTTCTGTAGGTTCAACTTTCTCCCATAAGATATTTTAGCCCTAGAGAAACTGTTGGATCTAATTTTGCAGGTTTTGCATACCAGAAGAAGCTGTTCCAACTGAACACCCCTTGGTCTCCTGATGTCTTCAAGGGACACATTCTGGCTACAGATTCTTACAGGTCAGTCTCAGGTACCCTGGGAGCCCATACCATAGCATCTGCACTGGTGGGCCATGTCTGACCCCTGAAGAGCTCCAGCAAGTTAGCTCCTATGACTCCATCAACCCACATGTTTCTTCCCCATACTGCAGCTTCCCATGAGACAAAAGTAAGTTTATATCCAACCAAAGTAAGCTTCAGAAGTAAAAATAAATAAATATGGTCCTATTCACATAAGCAAACACTGAAGAAATCTGTTACTTGAGACTTGTCTTACAAGAGCTTCTGAAGAAAACAATAAATAAAAAAGACTATAATTAGTCACTACAAAAACACACTATATAAACTGCTGACACTATAAAGCAACCACATAAAAAATGTGCAAAACAGACAGCTAAGATCATAGTGACAGAATCAAATTGACACATATGAATACTAACGATAAACATAAATGGGCTACATGCCCCAATAAAAAAACAGTGTGGAAAGCTGAGTAAAGAATCAAGATTTAATGGTATGCTGTAATCTAGACACTCATCTCAGTTAAGTTCAAAATAAAAAAGAAAAATCTACGAAATAAATGGAAAACATAAAAAAGGAGGGAATGCAATCATAATTTCTGGCAAAACAGACTTAAAATCCACATAGATTTTTTTAAAAAAAGAGAAAGACAGCATTCCATAATAGTAAAATGAAATATATACACCCAACACAAAAGCACCCAGATTATAAAGCAAGTTCTTAGAGACCCTACGAGTTCTTAAGTCAAATCTTCTTCAACAGTCATTACCTTTATATGATATTTAAGTCTCTGATGTTGAACACAGTATGAGGACTTGCTAAAAGCCTTTCCACATTTTTAATGCTTATGGAGCTTCTCTCTACTATGAATTCTCTTATGTCTAATGAGGTGTTGGAATGAAATCAATGCCTGGCCACATTTTTCACATTTGTAGGGTTTCAGTCCAGTGTGCATTCTCTTATGATTACTAACGTCTGAAAAGCACTTAAAGGTTTTGCCACATTGTTCAAATTTGTAAGGTCTCTCCTCTATATGAATTATCTTGTGGTCAGTAAAGTTTGTGGAGCAGGTAAAGGCGTTGTCTTTTTTTTTTTTCAGAGGTAGGGTATCTCTACAGTATAAATTCTCTTATGTTTACTAAGGGCTGAGAACCATGTAAAAGCTTTTCCACATTAGTTGCATATGTAAGGGTTTCTCTTCAGTATGAATTATCTTATGTTTAGGAAGGTCTGAGAACCACCTATAGATTTTGTTACATTCTTCACATTTATAGGGTTTCTCTCCAGTATAAATTATCTTATGTTTAGCAAGGTCTGTGCATTCTCTTACAAAGGTCTGAGAAGCATTTAAAGACTTTTCCACATTCTTCGCATTTGTAGGATTTATTTCCAGAATGATTTTTCTTGTGTTTAATAAGGGTTGAGGAGCAGGTTAAGGTTTTGCTACATTCTTCACATTTGTAGGGCTTTCCTCCAGTATGAACTCTCTTATATTCAGGAAGGTTTGAGGTCTTTTTACAGTCTTTGTCACATTCTTCACGTCTGTAGCATCTCTCTCCAGTATGTATTATTTGTATAGTAAAATCTGAGAACTACCTACAGTTTCTGCCACATTATTTACATTTGTAGCAGTTCTCTCTGCTAAAAGTTTTCTTATGTTCACTGAGGATTGAGCACACCTGGAAAGCTTTCCAAATTTATTACATTGACAGGCTTTGCTCTGGGTAGTTGACAAACATTGATGAAAGAAATTATAACTGCTTTTCTGTCTCTTGTAGTTATTCACACTTTGGCTGTATTTCTTTAAATATAAACTATTAAGGTCACAGTTTTTACATTTTCTCAGAATTACTTTTTGAAGTGAATCTTTTATTTCATGCTCTGGCCATATGTCTGACTAATATGAAAAGAGCTAGCTGAAAAAAAAATAAGAACAACAATATTTCTCTTGCATTAGCATAAGGCTCAAGTGAATACATTTTAAATAATTATACGAATCACATTAACAAGGTGGCAATAAAATACCACAGACTCTAATTCCTTTATAGACATATAAACTTAACAGAAATATGCTGAACAAAATTCCTTTGTGAGAAGTCTAATAATCAGTTAAGCATTTGTAGCACTTCAAGGGAGAAAAATACCAAGAACTACATAGAAGTGTAATAAAAGTGTTGTATATTTGCCCTTCTCAGCCTTTCTTCATCCTATGATGACTTTAAGTATAGTTTCCCAACTCCTGATTTCCCCTTCAAAAATAAATAAAATAGTGGCAACTGAGTTCAGGCTTCTGGCTTTGTGAGACCTTACTAAAGACTAATTTCTATATTCTATGACAGTGTTTAAAGGAAATGTGGTATTCTTTGACAATTTGGGGCAGGTGAGACAGGGTAAATGACTGTTACAAGAAAGACATTGACAAGATATCATTGACAGACTATGGATATAGCAATTGACTACAGGATCTCAATAAGAAACATAGGGAATAGCCAGAAGTGGTGGCTCGCACCTGCAATCCCAGCACTTTGGGAGTCTGAGACAGGCGGATTACCTGAGGTCAAATATTCAAAACCAGCCAGGTCAATATGGTGAAACCCTGTCTCTACTAAAAATATAAAAGTTATGTGGGTGTGGTGGCAGGTGCCTGTAATCCCAGCTACTTGGGTGGCTGAATCAGGAGAATCACTTGATTCCAGGAGGTGGAGTTTGCAGTAAGCCAAGATCACACCATTGCACTGCAGCCTGGGCAAGAAGAGTAAACTATAACTAAAAAAAAAAAAAAAAAAAAAAAGGAAAAGAAAAGAAAAGAGAAAAACATTCGGAATAATTTTTAACTAAAAACACACAAGCCTAGATAAAACATCTATAGAACAGGTGTGAGAGACTTCAAGAATCTCTAGCCTAAAAGTTGGTATCATATTCCCCCAGAAAAAAGTCAATAAGCATTTTCACATGTGGCATTTTATTATATAATTTGCAACCCAAGATTACAACATATACAAAACATTAAGATAAGATGGCTCACTCTAAGATAAAAATAAATATGTAGAAATCAATGATAATAAATGGAGATGTAAAAATTACCTGAGAAAATTTCAATTAAAGTCTACATCTATTTTTAAAAGAAAAAAATAAATTACCCTAACAAATTAAAATTGCCACCTGAATGATGCTTAATGAGTAAAACTGAAATAAAGAAAACAAACTGAAATAACAAATACGAAATTAACAAAATTATAAAAAGAACAAAAAATAAAATTTATGTAGTAGAAGTACAAAAAAGACTAATATGAACTTCAACATTATTAAAAAAAATAAGAAAATCAGGAAGCTCAGTAAATTTCAACCAACATTAACACAAAGAAATTTCTAACAAGACCCCAAATAAGAAATGCTTTGAAAGTCATATATAAGAAGAGAATCTTGAATGCAGGAAGAAAAAAAGAGATATGTTATTTATATGCATGCTTCTGCAAGTTTACCAGTAAGTTTATAAACATAAATCTTTCAGGAAGAAAGGAGTAGGATAACATACTTAAAACACTGAAGAAAAACTTCTGTTAGAAATGCCTATTCCTCAGTGCCAAAAAGTAGAACTAGCACTCAGACAAAGAATTTTCTCAGCAAGGCAATTTTGCTTTCTGTAGAAAGCTTGCTGCTCATCAGCAATCCTGCCATGAAAGCACAATGAAACAGAAAGGCAGGAATATTTATCCTGTATGCGTTGGGTTCTTATTTCTGTTTCCTATCTCCATTAGTTTGAGCAGGACATCACAGTCTAAGCTAAACCTGATTAGCTAACAACCTAAAACATTCCTAAATAGGTAAAGGCAATGAAGAACAAAGAAAAGGAGAAAGTTGCTTTTGAAAAGTCTTAGAGAAGTAATAACATTTCCAAATAAGAAAAGGGCATAAGCTGCAAACTGGGACATGCTTGAGCATGTACAGAACAAATCTCTTGTTGAAAGTCCAAGGGCATGGAATGTACTTATTCTTTATATATAACAGCTACATAGAATAGGGCTTAACAGAGAGTCAATAGCACAAAACAGGAAGGCTTTGAAGAAATTTAATTTGTAAAAGAAAATATTATTTCTAACATTTATTATTTAAAAGAAGGAAAATTTTGATGAGAAACTTTTTACTTTTTACAAAGTCTAAGTAAGAATACTATATCCAGCAAAAGTATCCTTCAAAATGAAGGAGAAAATATCCAACTATATCATGATCTATATCAAGATCTAACCATGTCATCTCTTCAAGAGTCTCACTTCAGACTTAATAAAAAAATAGACTGAAAATGGCAGGATAAAAAATACATGCCATGGAAGTGTTAACCAAATAAGAGGAGAAGAGGCAACAATTTATTAAATTGAAAACAGTCATATTTTGTAAAATTTGCTCTAAGTGAAAATTCACAAGAGACAAGTAGGACATTCAGTTATACTAAGAAAGTTCATTTACTGAGATTCTATAAATATATGAGAGTTTTCCCAAAAACGTAAAATAAAACATTGACATAATTGAAGCAAAAATAGAAAACAATATAATAATGGAAGGATACATTTATATCCCACTTTCAGTAATAAATAAAGCAAGACGGAATATCAATAAGGGAACACAAAGCTTGAATTCTCTATACAATATTTGTACCCGACAAATGTGTACAACAATAGAATACATACTTTTTAATAGCTCATAGAATATTTTCCTAGATGGATTGTGTGTGACTCCATGAAAGAAGCATTAATGATTTTTAATTGAAATTTTACAGACAATTATTTATAGCCCAAATGGAATGAAACTAGAAATCAGTAATGGAAGAAAAGCTGAAAAAAAATTATAACAAATAACAACACAGTTTTTCTTTTTTCTTTTTTCTTAGATGCAATATCACTCTGTCTCTAGGATGAAGTGCAGGGGCACAATCTCAGCTCACCGCAACCTCCACTTCCAGGTTCAGGCAATTCCCCTGCCTCAGCCTCTCCAGTAGCTGGAACTACAGGCACACACCACCATGCCCAGCTAATTGTGTGTATTTCAATAGCGGCAGGATTTCATCATGTTGGCCGATATGATCTCAATCTCCTGATCTGGCCATGGACCTTCCTTGGCCTTACAAAGTGATGGGATTACACGTATGAGTCACCAGGCCTGGCCAGTAAAGTTTTTTGAGCATACTCATTATCAAGGGTTGGAAGACATAATATTCTAAAAATGTCCATGCTGCTTAAAGTGATCCACACATTCAACAGGCCAATTTTCAATTTTAAATTAAAGTTTCCCAAAAATATAAATTAAAATAACCCAGAAAATTACATGAAAATCCTGGCAATCTTTAAAAGGAAGCCAAATATTGGAAGCATTACACTTAACAATTTCCAAACACAAAACAAACCTAAAGTAATCAAAACACTTGGTACCAGTACAAAGGTAGAACACGAAAGTAATGAAGCAGAATGCAGCACAGAAATAAACATTTGAATAGAGAGGAGAGACATACCACCTAGGTTTTTCATTCAGCTGTATTTCACAATTCCTTTGGTAAGCAGGACCCAGGCAGGAGAGGAGAGTTATACCATTTAAACACTAATTTATGCGATATTTCAAAATTTTTTTCTGGAGGCAGAGAGGCCTGGAGGGACATGTAACCTAGCTGATAGAAGAAGAGATATGTGATAATATACCCTATTGACAGGACTCATGCAGAAGTATCACATTATTGTGATTCTGAGCCAGCATTACGTAAAAATGCTCCCGTGGAAAGGAATTTGAGCCAAAAGACTCAACCTGGGTACTAGGCCCAGAAATATGACACAATCTCATCATCTTTGTAGGTGACAACGTTAACTTTTAGCTAAGTGTGTATATTAGAGTGACAATCTCACATGTTTGCTGCGACAATGTATGACCCTCTGCAACATCCAAGGGACTTATAAAACGTGCATAAGAGTTGCAAAGCTCTCTGAAGCCTACGTGCTGGTATGGACTCACAATCTTACGTATTATCTTAAACCCAGGTTTGATAGTTGACATCTCTCCTATAGGCAGGGTTAAGGAAAAAGACCCATTATTATTTCTGTGGGCTGGGTTTAGAAATGACTGACCATCCCACTTGTGGCCAGAGCCACATATAAATTTCACAATTCCAACTTTGTGCTGTATTCCTGTGTTAGACTCTTGATCTTAACAGTGGGCATTGTAAATGTGGGATGGTGACAACTTTTAATTTCACCTGGGTTTGTAACCTAGAGCCCCAATCTGAAATTTTGGCCAGGCCCTGTTATGAAATTTTATAGCACCAAAGAGTTTATATGATATAAGTTAGTATTGTAAGCTTCTGTGAGGTTGTTACATACATGTAACCCAGGAGATTATCTATTCCTCCAAGCCTAACAATGAAAGGCAAAATATCTTCTATTGCCTGAATCCCAATATAAGTGTGAACATCATGTCTGTGAACTGAAGCAAGGTATAGGTCATAATCCCATATGCTGGCAAAAACTAGGCAGGAGGGTAACATCACTTAGATGCTGTGCCAGGCAATATGTTACATGCCTTCCTTAGGCAGGGCATAGGAAATTTGGTCATATTAGCTGGGTGCTGGACCTAGCAATATGACACCATCTCACATGTGGAAAAAACCCAGTCAAGTTATGGGAGCCAAAACACCTACATAAAGAGACCAAGATATGTCAAAATACCTTCAGTGGCTCCAGCACAGGAGGACAGTCACATAAAAATGGTCCTGGACTGAGCAATATACAATATGCCATAAGTTCTTCTATATGCAGAAACAAAGCAGAAGAGTAACATCATCCGGGTACTGGGCCCTGCAGTAGGTCACAATTCCTGTTTTGTGAGAATGACTTTGAAAAATGAGGAGATTCACATTTTGTAGTTTGCCTGTTCACTCTGATGGTAGTTTCTTTTGCTGTGCAGAAGCTCTTTAGTTTAATTAGATCCCATTTGTCAATTTTGTCTTTTGTTGCCATTGCTTTTGGTGTTTTAGACATGAAGTCCTTGCCCATGCCTATGTCCTGAATGGTAATGTCTAGGTTTTCTTCTAGGGCTTTTATGGTTTTAGGTCTAACGTTTAAGTCTTTAATCCATCTTGAATTGATTTTTGTATAAGGTGTAAGGAAGGGATCCAGTTTCAGCTTTCTACATATGGCTAGCCAGTTTTCCCAGCACCATTTATTAAATAGGGAATCCTTTCCCCATTGCTTGTTTTTCTCAGGAGATTCCTCAGGGATCTAGAACTGGAAATACCATTTGACCCAGCCATCCCATTACTGGGTATATACCCAAAGGACTATAAATCATGCTGCTATAAAGACACATGCACACGTATGTTTATTGCGGCATTATTCACAATAGCAAAGACTTGGAACCAAACCAAATGTCCAACAATGATAGACTGGATTAAGAAAATGTGGCACATATACACCATGGAATACTATGCAGCCATAAAAAATGATGAGTTCATGTCCTTTGTAGGGACATGGATGAAATTGGAAATCATCATTCTCAGTAAACTATCACAAGAACAAAAAACCAAACACTGCATATTCTCACTCATAGGTGGGAATTGAACAATGAGATCACATGGACACAGGAAGGGGATATCACACTCTGGGGACTGTTGTGGGGTGGGGGGAGGGGGGAGGGATAGCATCGGGAGATATAACTAATGCTAGATGATGAGTTAGTGGTTGCAGCACACCAGCATGGCACATGTATACATATGTAACTAACCTGCACAATGTGCACATGTACCCTAAACCTTAAAGTATAATAAAAAAAATTCAAAAAAAATAAAATAAATAAAGTTCCATATCAACTTTAAAAAAAAGAATCTATTGGTGCCTTGATCTTGAACTTCCCAGAGTATAACTGTGAGAAATAAATTTCTATTGTTTATAAGCCAGAAAAAAAAAAGAAAGGAAAAAATGAGGAGATTCACATATCCTGAGTGCTGGGCTCAGTAATGTGCCAAAATCCTCCTATTGTGAATGCCCAGGCAGAAAAACAGAATCACATCACTTAGGTCATGAGCTCAGACATTTGTCCCAATGTCCCCAGTAGGCAGGGTTCAGGCACACAAGGAGGGTCATATCACCTGTGTGCTTCCCTAGAAATATGTCATAATGTAAAATGTGGGCAGAAATTAGGCAGAAGAGCCACATCGCCAGAATGATGGGTTCTGAGATATTTCACAAGGCTCTCTTAGGACAGCACCCAGCAAAGATAGTTACATCACCTAGGTGCAGGTTCTCTGTTTATGCTACAATTCTCCATGTGGCCTCCATGTGCATAGGACCCAAGGAGGGAGTCACTTCACCTAGGGGATAGGCCCAGAGATATGTCGCAATGACCTCTATGAAGCATAGCCCTAGCAAAAGAGTACTATCACCTGTGTGCCTGGCCTAAAATATGTCACTGTCAAGGTTGGCAGGGCCCAAGCAGGAAAGCCACATAACCTAGGTGATAAACCCAGAGATATGTCACAATGCCCTTTTGTGGGCATGGCTCTGGCAAAATAGTACCTTCCCCAGTGTACCTGGTCTTGCAGTGTGTCACTGTCATTCCTTTTTGCAGGGCTCATTCCAGAGAAGAGAGTTACATAACTTATGAGGTGGACACAGAAATATGTTGCAATAAGTTTGGTGTGCCTGGCACAGGAAAGAATGTAACATCACCTTGGTGTTAGATCCAGTGATATGTCACAATCTTTACTGAAAGAAGTGCCCAGGCAGCAGAGTCACATCACCTGTAGGTTGGCCTACATAGATATGATAATCCCATATATACACTGGAAAAAGCCTGGAGAGTCAAATTAAACAGGTGCTTGGCAAAGATTTATATTACAATCACATTGTCAGAAAATTCCAAGGGTGAGATTTACAATGCCACACATGTCCTGTTTTCATATATGACAGTTGGTTTTATCCATATGAGATGATGATAGTTCTTACTGTCAGCTGGTTGTGCATACCAGATTCACAATTTCTACTGTGTCCTGAGCCGTGTTTTGACTCTGTCTGTATAACCTAAAGACTTTATAAAATATGTGTGCTTGTTGTAATTTTTTGTAAACTTTGTACAAGAAAGAGATTCAGGACATTTGGGATCCCTAAAATTAGTTATTAAACTAGGAAAAGATGAATTTAAATTGTCTCTGTTTGGAGTTGACACGATTGTATATCTATAAAATCCCATCGTCTGAGCCTAAAATCTCCTTACACTGATAAGCAACTTTAGCAAAGTCTCAGGATAATAAATCAATGTGCACTCCCATTCACAATTGCTAAAAAGAGAATAAAATACCTAAAAATACAACTTACAAGGGATGTGAAAAATCTCTTTAGGGTGAACTACAAACCACTGCTCAAGGAAATAAGAGAGAACACAAACAAATGAAAAAACATTCCATGCTCATTGATAGGAATAATTAATATCATGAAAATGACCATAACTCCCAAAGTCATTTGTAGAATCAATGCTATCCCCATCAGGCTACCAATAACTTTCTTCACAGAATTGGAAAAAAAAAACTACTTTAAACTTCATGTGGAACCTAAAAAGAGCCTGAATATCCAAGACAATCTTAAGCAAAAAGAACAAAGAAGGACTCATCACACGACTTGACTTCAAACTATAATACAAGGCTACAGAAACTAAAACAGCATGGTCCTGGTACCAAAACAGATATATAGATGAATGGAACAGAATAGAGGTCTCAGAAATAACACCACTCATCTACAACCATCTGATGTTTGACAGACGTGATGCAAACAAGCAATGGGGAAAAGATTTCCTATTTAATAAATGGTATCTTGAAAACTAGCTAGCCATAGGCAGAAAAAATGAAAATGGACCCTTTCCTTGCACCTTGTACAAAAATAAACTGAAGATGGATTAAAAACTTAAACATAAAACCTAAAATTATAAAAATTATAGAAGAAAACCTAGGCAATACCATTCAGGACATAGGCATGGGCAAATACTTCATATTTAAACACCAAAAGAAATGGCAACAAATGACATAATTGATAAATGGGATATAATTAAACAAAGAAGTTTCTGCACAGCAAAATAAACTATCATCAGAATGAACAGGCAACCTCCAAAATGGGAGAAAATTTTTGCAATCTATCCATCTGACAAAGGGGTGATATCTAGAATCTACAAAGAACTGAAACACATTTACAAGAAAAAAAAAAAAAAAAACCTATGAAAAGTGCTCATTATCACCAGTAACTAGAGAAATGCAAATCAAAGCCACAAAGAGATACCATCTCACGCCAGTTAGAATGGCAATAATTAAAAAGTCAGGAAACAATAGACGCTGGAGAGGATGTGAAGAAACAGGAAAGCTTTTACACTGTTGTGGG
This sequence comes from Homo sapiens, assembly GCF_000001405.40. NCBI lineage: Eukaryota > Metazoa > Chordata > Mammalia > Primates > Hominidae > Homo > Homo sapiens. Next base: position 8,428,404 of record NC_000024.10, read on the forward strand.
GGAGTGTAAATTAGTTCAACCATGTAGAAGACAGTGTGGTGATTCCTCAAGGATCTAGAACTAGAAATACCATTTGACTCAGCAATTCCACTACTGGGTGTATACCCAAAGGATTATAAATCATGCTACTATAGAGACACATGTGCACGTATGTTTGTGGCACATATACACCATGAAATATTATTCAGCCATAAAAAATGATGAGTTCATATCCTTTGCAGGGACATGGATGAAGCTGAATACCATCTTTCTCAGCAAACTATTACAAGAACAGAATAGGAAACACCGCAAGTTATCACTCATAGGTGGGAATTGAACAAAGAGAACACATGGACACAGCGAGGGTAATATCACACAACAGGGCTTGTCAGGGGGTAGGCGTCTAGGGAAGAGATAGCAGATGCTGGTTTGATTTGTGCAGCAAACCACAATGGCACCTGTATAACTATGTAAAAATACTGCAAGTTATGCAGAACTTAAAGTAAAATAAAAAAATAAAACCCAGGCAGAATGTTAACATCACTTAGGTGGTGTATCACACAATATGTCACTATGCCCTCTTTAGGCAGGACCTAGGATAAAGGGTCACATTAACTGGGGACTGGAACCAGCAATGTGATACAACCACACATGGAAGAAATCCAGCAAAGTGTTGAGAGCCAAAAGAGCTACAGAAAGGGTCAAGGTTATGTGAAAATTCCTTCCATGGCTCTGGCACAGAAAAGAGAGTCACATCATTAGAGTGCTGGGCCAAGCAATCTGCTATAATTCTTTTCTTATTAATACCCTGGGCATAAGAGTGACATCCTCCACATGCTGGGCCCTGAAATATGGCAAAAGTCCTGTTTATGAGTGTTGTTCATCAACAAGACGAGTCACGTTAGTTAAGTGCTAGGCTCACCAATCCGTCAAAATCTTCCCATTTTAAAGCCACATACAGAAGAAAGAGAGAAACGTTGCTTAGATCATAGGATCAGAGATATGGCCCAATGTCACTTGTAGGCTGGGCCCAGGAAGAAAAAGAGAGTCATATCACCTAGGTGTTTCTTTAGGTAAATGTCACAATTTAATATGTGGGCAGAAACCAGGCTAAAGATCCACATCAACTCATCCTGGGTCCTGAGATTTTCACAAGCCCCCCTTAGAAAAGTACCTATGCAAGAAAGTTACATCATGTAGGTGCAGGTTCCACCCTTATGTGACAATGCTCCATGTATGCAGGCAAAGCAGGAAGTTAAATCACCTAGGTGACATGCCCAGAGATATTTCACAAAGCTTTCTTAAAGCATGGCCCTGGCAAAAAGTACCATCACCTTTTTGCCTGGCCTAGCAATATGCTACTATTCAAGTGCGCAGGTCCCAAGCAGAGGAACCATATCACCTACATTATAGGCCCTGTGATATGTCAAAATGCCATCTTTTGGGCATGGCCCTGGAAAAAAACTATCATCACCTCTGTGTCTGGTCTAGGAATATATCACTATCCTGCCCTGTGTGCAGGGCACATTCAAAAGAGGAGAGAATTTTCTTCAAAGCAATAGGCACAGAGATTATGTCACAATAATGTGACATCACCTGGGTGTGGGTTCAGTGATATCACAATGTTACTGAGAGCAGGGCCCAGGTAGAAGAGTCACATCACTTCAAGGTTGGCTCAGGTAGATATCAAAATTCCATATGTAGGCTGGAAACAGTCTGAAGAGTGAAATCGCACAGGTGGTCTGCAAAAATTGATGTCAGAGTAATGGTGGAATTAAATTCTAGGGATGAGATATACAATACCACACATGTCCTGTTTTCACATAGGAGAATTGCCTTCATCCGTCTGTTATAATGAAAGTCCTTACTGTCAACTGGGTGTGCATATGAGACTCACAATTTTCTCTGTGTGCTAGGAGCTGTTATCACACTCTTTATACAAACCAAGGGTGTGATAATATGTGTGGGTGTTGTCATGATATGTGACCTTCTTACCAGAAGGTGATCCTGGACAACCGTCATGTCTCTAACATAGTTATAAGAGTCAAAATTTCTTCTACTGATTCAGTTCACATATTAGAGTCATTATCATGCCTGCTAGCTGTGCCTAGGTATACATCACTATCCCCTCTGTGGTTATTGAACAAGAAGGACAACCATATCACCTAAATCCTGAGCAAGAAATATTCCAATATTGTCTTTGAAGGCAAGACCCTAACAGAAAATTCACAAAACTTGGGTGCTAGGCAAAGCTGTATGGCAATATGGCCCTTGAAGAAGAAGTCCAGGCAGGAGAGGATAGTTATATAACCTAAATGATGGACCCAGACATATGTCACAATGATTCATGTTGAAAGCCCCAGGTCAGAGAGTCATGACATTTGGATGCAGTGCCTAGAAATGCTACAATATTCACTGGAAGCAGGGTTCAGGCAGGACAGAAGAGTCACATAACCTAGATGATGGGTACAGAGATATATTACCATCCCTTCTGAGGTCACTTTTAGACAGGACAATCCAATCACCAAGGTTCTTGACCAGGAATATGTCAAAATGTAATCAGTGGGCTATAAGTAGGCAGGGTTATTAAATCACATAGGAGCTGGACAAAGGTATATGTCACAAAAACAACTGAGGAAAGATTCAGAAATGAGAGTCACCACCCTGCACATGTCCTGGCTCCAGGTACAAGAGTCATTATTAGGGCTTTTGTCTGGTCTCAGGTATATGGCACAATATCACATGTGGCAGGGAGAAGAAAGGAAAGTCACCTCATCTTTGTGGGTGCTGGTCCAGTGAAATGTCATAATCCTACTTGTGAGCAGGACTCTGGAAGAAGAGTCACATCACCTGGATGCTGGTTTCAGTGGTATATGTAAATCCCCCTCGTGGGAAAGTCTTCGGAAGAACAGTAGACAAACATCACCTTGGAAATTGGCATGAATATATGACACAATGGCTGCTATGTCAAGAACAAAGGCTGAATAGTCACCTAATCCTGGTGCTGGGTTCAGCAATACATCAGAATCTCTTTGGTGGTCATGGCCCAGGCAAGACAGAAGAAACTTTACCTAGGTGCTAAGCCATGGGATATGTGAAAAACCTTCCTATTGGCAGAGGTACTAGGCCTAGTGATATGACACAATATCTTCATATCTTAGGGTGACACCTTTGACTGTCAGCTTGGTGTACATATAAGTGTTGCAATGTCATGTGTGTCCCGTGTCATCATATGACACACTTTACAACATCCGAAGGCTTTATGCAATATGTATGAGAGTTGCAATCTACTCTGAGGCTGACATGCTCATATTAACTCATGATCTTACATATTGCTATAAACCCAGTTATGATAGTCCACATCGCTCTTATAGGCTGGGTTGAGACAGGAGATCGGTTATTATGCCCTTCATCTGGGTCCAGAAATGAGTCACCATCTCACCTGCAATAAGATACACATATGAAAGTCACTATTCCATCTTTTTACTTTATTTGCATTTTAAGCTCAGGACTTCAAAAATGGGCTTTGTAAATGTGAGATGGTGACAACATTTGCTCTCACCTGCAAGAGTAATCAAAAGTCACGATTGTAACCATTTGCTGGGCCCTTTTATAAAGCTCTGTGTACCACCCAAAGATTTTATACAATATGAGTTAGTGTTTTAAACTTCTGTTAGCTGTGCTCAAATTTGCAACTCATAACTTTACATATTACCAAAAGTGTAGTGATGAGAGGCAAAATATCTGCTATTTGTGGAATTCCAACTTCCAATTGATAATCATACCTCTGAATTGAAGCAATGTAAATTTCATAATCCCATTTGTTAAAAAAAATAGCAGGAGGTTAACACAACTTACATTCTGTGCCAAGCAATATGTCACAATGCCTTCCCAACACAGGGTCTGGAATGCTGGTTACGATAACTGGGTGCTGAACCCAGCAATATGACACAATCCCAAACATGGATAAAACACCCCAGACAAGTGAAGAGCGCCAAATCACCTAAATAATAGGCCCAAGATATGTAAAAATACTTTCTGTTGCTCTGGAAGAGGCAGGAGAGTTACATCATCAGGGTGTGGGTCCCAGCAATATCCCATAATTCTATCTTTATGCAGGACCGTGTCAGAAATGGAAAATCATCGTAGTGCTGGGCCCAGCAATACATCAAAATTCCTTTTTATGGCCATGGTTCTGGAAAAAAAAAAGGAGTCATATTACCTAATTATTGTGCTTAGCAATATGTCACATCAACCCATAAAAAAAAGACAGAAGTAAAAAAGACATTACTTAAGACACAGGCTCAGATATATGATCCAATGTCCCAAGTAGTTAAGACTCAGGTATAAGAGAACAGTCATATTATGCAGGTGCTTCCCTAGGTTTATAACATAATCTAACACATTAGGTGAAGCCAGGCAGAAGAGTCACATCACCTTGATACTTGGTCTGGTGATATGTCACAAGGCTCCCTTTAAGACAGGACTCTGGCTAGAGAGTTACAACAAATGAGTGCAGGTTCTACCCTTATGTTACAATGTTCTATGTGGTCAGGGCCCAAGCAGGGAGTCACATCATCTGGCTGATAAGTGCAGAGATATGTCACAATGTTCTCCTGGAATTATGGCCCTAGTGAAAGAGCACCATCACCTTTGTGACTAGCCAAGCAATACGTCACTATTCAGGTAAGCAGGACCCAAACGGGAGAGCCAAGACACCTAGTTGATAGGCCCAGAGGCTTGTCAAATGTCCTCTTTAGGACAGGGCCCTAGAAAAAGGGTACTGTTACCTCTTTGCCTGACCCAGCCATATGTTGCTATCCCCCACTGTGTGCAGGGCCCATTTTAATGAGTAGAGTGGTTGACTCAGTGATATGTCCCAGGGATTTCTGTGCACATGACTCAAGCAAAAATGTGACATGACTTGAGTGCTGGATCTAGTAATATGTCACAATTCTTACTGAGAGCAGAGCCCAGGCAAAAGCATCACATCACCTAACGGTTGGCCCAGGTAGGTATCACAATAACTTTGTGGGCTGAAACAATCTTGAAGAGTCAAATCACACAGGTCCTTAGCCAGCAAAGATTTATATCACAGACACACTGGCAGAAAATTATCAGGATGAGATTTAAAATATCACACATGTTCTATTTTCATGAATGACATTTCTCTTCATATATGTGAGATGGTGACTCCATACTGTCAGCTGGGAGTGCATATAAGACTCACAGTTTCACCTTTCTACTGGGTTCTGTTATTACATTCTCTGTACAGGCCAAGGGCTTTATAAAATATCCAAGGCTGTTAAAATCATCTTTTCACAAGAAAGTCATTTATTCACTCCTGTTTCTGAAGCAGGTTATAAAACTTAAAATTACACCAATTTCTGGGGTCCACATAGGAGAGTCATAATCATGCCTGTGAGTTGTGCCTAGATATACGTAACAATTTACTCTGTGGTAATGAAATAGCCATAACAGCAAAGTACCCCCCCAAAGGCTGAGCAAGAAGTGTTCCAATATTCTCCTTGTTGGTAAGTTTCTGTCAGCATAGTTTGATAACATGGGGGTTACAACCAGATGTATGGCACAATGTGCCTTGTGGGCAGTGTCCAGACAGAAGAAGAGACTCCTATCACTGAAATGCTAGGCCTAGAGGTATGTCACAATGTCGCATGTCGAAAGGACCAGGCAAGAGATTCAGATCACTTGGATGCAGTGCCTAGAAATGGTACTATCCCCAGTGAAGCAGGGTCCAGCAAGAAGAGGAGAGTTGGATAACTAGATGATGGGTCCAAAGCCATGTCACAATCCTTCCTGGGGATGTTGTAAAAACAGGAGAATCAAGTCACCAAGGCACTCAGCCAAGGTATATATCAAAATCTAATTTGTGGGTTACACCTAGGCAGCATTAGTAGGTCACTCAAGAAATGGGAAATGGTATATGCCACAATGACACAAGTGGAAAGTTCCAACAATAGGAGTCACCTTCTTGCATATGACCTGGCTTAAGGTTTAAGAGTCATGATTAGTCCTCTTATTTGGTCTCAAGTATGTGGCATGATATTATCTATGGGCAGAGAGCAAATAGAAATATCACATTATCTGGGTGGGTGCTGGTCCAGTGAGATGTCACAATCTTTCTTGTGTCCAGGACCATAGAAGAAGAGTCACATTACCTGGATGCTAGTTTTAGTGAGATATCAAAATTCCTTTTGTGGACAGCCCTTAAGAAGTTGATGAGACTCATTTTACCTAGGCAATAGGCCTAGATATATGTCACAATGGCCACTATTTGCAAAACCAAGGTATGAAAGTGACCTCACTTTGGCTCTTGGTTTAGTAATATGTCACAATCTCCCCTCCTGTCAGGGTGAGACAAGAGAGGAGAAACATGACATATGTGCTAAACCAAGTGATATTTTACAAAGCTTCCCATTGGTGGAACCCAAAATGGAGAGTCACATCACCTGGGTGCAGTACCCAGTTATGTATCACAATGCACCATAAGTGCAGGGCAAATGAAGTAGAAGTCACATCGCTTACATGATAGACCTAGATATAAGCTACAATGCCTTTTATAGGCAGAGATAAGGCAAATAATTTACCTCGGCTGGGTGCTGGTCCCAGTGATATGTAAAAGTCCAATTTGTAGGCAGGTCCAGGCACCTTTGCTTAGGTTTATGTTCCATGTATGTCACAATTTCATCCATCATCATGGTTTAAATAATGAGAGTCAATTATTCAGGAGTGGGGCTAACTTTTATGTCCTAATCACACAACAGGAAATATTCAGAAATGTTTTTCATAGTCCCACACAAGTCTTGGCTTTGTATATGGGAGTCAACACCTCCTGTGATTTGGGTCAAAACAGAGGAGTCACAATCTGAACAATGCACAAGATCCATGTATAAGATGCCAATTCCACTTGAAGATTGTGTTCCAGGAAGAGAGTCACAGCTTCACAGGTCTGCTGATTCATGCATCACCAAAGAACCCATTGGTCAGATTCGTGTATGAAAGAAAAAAATTCAAATTTTGACTGCTTTTTTTTTTAGTGAGATTTAGCACCTTATTTGTAGGCCCTATGCTTTGAGAGAATGACAATCACGTCAGCTGGGTGTGCATCCAAGAGTGAAAATAACATTTGGTTGCTGTTCTCTGTTATAACATTCTTTGTACCACTCACACTTTACATGATATGCTTGAGTGTCATAATCCTCTGTGAAATGTATACAATTAGGAGACCGATTACTTTACTTATGGCCATAAGGCTGCTATGAGAATCAAAATATCTCTCCTTTCTGGGTCTAGGTATGGTAGTTATATTTCTTCATGGTAGCTCAACCCAGGTATGTGTGCCAATTTCAACTGTGGGAAGAAACATGGTAGGAGAGTCTCACAACATGGATGCCTAGCTCAGGATACATTATAATCTCCTTTGCAAGCCATGCCAAGTCAGAAGACTCACGTCACCTGGGTACAGCCTCAAGTAATATGGTCTCGTGTCCGCTGTAGACAGGATTGAAGAAAAATAGGATAATCACACCACCTAGGTGCTGGGATTAGCAATATGTAATAATTGCTTGTTTTGGCCAGCTCCAGAATACAGAGAATAGTTGCATGCAATTGTATGTCACAATTTCTTTAATAGGTAAGACCTAGGCAGGAGAGAAGAGTCACATTTCCTAAATGTTACCCCTGGAGGATGTCACAATGTTCCTTGGGGGCAAAGCAGAGGCAAAATAGAAAAATCAACTAGCAGATGGGTTCAGAGATATGTATTATCCATACTTGGCAGGACCCCAGCAGAAAAGTCACATTATTATGATTCTGCCCCAATGATATGTCACAATGCACACAAGGGAAACAATTTAAACAAAAGTTTTAACAACTGGGTACTAGGCTCAGTGATTAGACAAAATCTCCTCATATTTTAGGGTGACACCTTCAACAGTTATCTTGGTGTGTATATGAGTCACATTGTCAAGTGTGTGCTGCATCATTGTATGACACCCTCTACAACATCTGAGGGCTTTATACAGCAAGCATGAAAGTTGCAAACTACTCTGAGGCCCACATGCTCACATGGACTCTCGATCTTATATATTGCCTTAAACTTGGGTGTGATAGTCAACATCTCTCATTTAGGCTGAGTTCAGGAGTGAGACTTATTTTTATGCCTCTGAATTGGCTCTAAAAATGAGACGCAATCACCCCTGTGGCCAGATCCACAAATTATAGTCACAATTCCAACTTTGAACTGTTTTTACTTGTTGGACTCAATACCTCAACAATGGGCTTTGTAAATGTGGGATGGTGATAACCTTTACTTTCACCTGGGAGCTTAATTGAGAGTCACAATCCTAACTTTTTTTCTAGGCCTTGTTATGAATCTCTCTGTACCACCAAAGGAGTTTATACAATATTAATTAGTGTTGTAAATTTCTCTGAGTTTTGTACAAATATGCAAACCAGGATTTTACCTATTGCCCTAAGTCTAGTGATGAGAGGCAAAATATCTTCTATTGGTTGAATCCCAATATAAGTTTGAACATCATGCCTGTGAAGTGAAGCAAAGTATATGTCATAATCTTATTTGTGGACAAAAAGGAAAAAGAATAACATCACTTTGGTTATGTGGTGAGCAACTTGTCACCATGCCTTCTCTAAGAAGGATATAGGAAGGAGGGTCCTATTATCTGGGAGCTGGACACAACAATATTACACAGTACTTCTTGTGAGAAAGATTAGCCAAAGGATGAAAGGTAAAACACCCTCAGAATAAGAAGACATGTCAAAATTCTCTCTGTAGCTCTGGCACCAGAAGGACAGTAGCATCATCAGGGCGCTAGTCCCACCACTATGAAAAAATTGCCTCTTTATTCAGAAATGCAGCAGAAGAGTAATATGAACTGAGTACAATAGATCAAAATTGCTCTTTGTGTGCATGGTTCAGAATAAAGAGTAGAGTCACATGACCTAAATGCTGGTCTCAGAAATATGTCCACAATCTCATCACTTTGAAGGGTGAAGCAGGGGAGGAGAATAATATCACTTAGGTCAGAGGCTCAGAGATAGATCCAAATGTCCTCAGTAGGCAGAACTCAGAAAGAAAAGGACAGTAGTATTTCCTATGTGCTTCTTTATGTATAAGTCAGAATCTAACACATGGGCAGAAACCTGGCAGAAGAGCCACTAAATTACCTGGGTTCTGGGTCCTTAGATATGTCACAAATCCCCCTTAGAATAGAAACAAGGTGAAACAGTTACATTGCCTTGGTGCCGGTTTCACTTTCATGTCACAATGTTCTCTGTGGTTGAGGCCAAAATATTGAGTCATATCAACTAGGTGATAGAGCCAGATATATGTCACAATGTCCTCTATGAAGCATAGCCCTGGGTAAAGAGTACCATCACCTGTGTGCCTCGCCTAGAAATATGTCACTCTCCAGGTTGGCAGGGACCAAGTAGATGAGCCGCATAACCCAGGAGAGAGTACCAGAGATATGTCACCAAGTAGAAGAGCCGCATAACCTAGGTGAGAGTACCAGAGATATGTCACAATGTCCTCTTTAGGGGATAGTTCTGGCAAAAAGTACCATCACCTGTGTGTCTGGCTTTGCAAAGTTACTATCCTTCCTTTGTGCAAGGCCTATCCAGAGAAGAGAGTTACATCACCCATGTGGTGGACACAAAAATATGTCACAATAATTTTTGTGGGTGTGGCTCAAGCAAGATTGTAGAATCACGTGGATGCTAGATCCAGTGATATATCAAAACACTTACTGAAAGAAGGGCCCAGGCAGTAGAGTCACATCACCTTGAGGTTGGCCTAGGTAGGTATCACAATCCCAGATGTTGGCCTGAAGAAGTCTAGAGAGTCAAATTAATACAGATGCCTGGCAAATAATTATATCACTATCTCACTGTCAGAAAATTCCAAAGATAAAGTTGGCAATAACACACAAGTCCTGTTTTCCTGTGTGACAGTTGACTTCATTCATGTGAGATAATGACAGTTCTTACTGTCAGGTGCATGTGCATAGAAGATTCAAACTCTCACCATGTGTTGAGCCCTGCTTTTACTCTGTCTCTATAACCCAAAGACTTTGTAAAACATATTTGAGCATTGTAATCTTTTGTGATGTTTGTATACGAAAGTTATCCAGGACATCACCCATGTCACTAAATTGAGTTATAACAGTCAAAATATGCTCTATTTGCTGAGTCTACATATGACAGTCATTATCATTCCTGTGAGCTTTGCCTAGGTATATGTTAAAATTCCCTCTGTAGTTATGGGGCAGGCAGAACAGCAATGTCGCTGAAATGTTGGGCCAGAAATATTCCAGTATTCTCTTTGCACGAAGTCTCCTGTCTGAAATACCACATACCTTGTGTGCTAAATCCAGCACAGATTCCATTGTGGTCAGTGTCTAGACATGAGAGGAGAGTCATATCACCTAAAATCTGAACCCAAAAATGTCGAAATCCCTCCTGTTGAGAGGGTCCAGAAAAGAGTGTCATGTCATTTGGATGCAATGTTTAGAAATGCTACAATTACTAAAGGAAGGTGGGTACAGGCCAAAGAGGAGAGTCATGTACCCTAAATAATAGCTTCAAAAATATGTATGTGACTATTACCCTGAAAACATCATCAAGGTAGCACAGTCAAATCACCAAGCTGCTTGACCCAGGTATTTGTCAAAATCTCATTTGTGGGCTATACCTAGGCAGAATTATTAAATTTCTCAGGTATTGGACAACGATGTATATACAATTACACTTGTGGAAAGGTTTAAAAATAAGAATCACCATCCTATACATGTCCTGTATCTAGACATAAGAGTTGTTATATGGCAGAATATCTCCTGTTGTCAGAGAGAAGGCAAAAAAGTCACATCATCTACGTGGGTGCAAGTCCAGTGAGATATGACAATCCACCTGGTGGGCAAGACCCTGGGAGAAGAGTCAGATCACCTGGAAGCTCCTTTCAGTGACATATGAAAAACTGCTTGGTGAGGGTTTTAGACTCAGAACTTCAACAGCGGCCTTTGTAAACATGGGATGGTGGCAACTTCTAATTTCACCTGGGTGTGTAATAGAGAGTCCCAATCTGAACTGTTTGCTGGTCAACATTATGAAAATTTCTACCACAAAAGAGTTTATTCAGTACAATTTAGTGGTGTAAACTTCTATGAGCTTGGTACAAACATGCAACCCATGACCTTACCTATTGCCACAAGCCTAACAATGAAAGGCAAAATATTGTCTATTGGCTGAATCCCAATATAAGTTTGATCATCATGACTGTGAACTGAATCAGGGTATATATTATAGTTACATATGTATGCAAAACACTAGGTAGGAGTGTAACATCATTTTGATGCTGTGCCAGAAAATATGTCACAATGCCTTCTCTGGGCAGGGTACAGAAAATTGATTCATATTAACTGCATGCTACAATATGATACAATCCCACACATGGGAAAAACCCAGTCAAGTTATGAGAGCCAAAATATATGTATAATATGCCTAATATACTCAACATACCTTGAGTAGCTCCAGCACAAGCAGGAAACTCACATAAGGGTGCTGGGACCAGCAATATGCAATGTATAAAATTAGCTGTTTATGCAGATTCCAGGTAGATAATTAACATCATCTGGGTGCTGGGCAATGCAATAGGTCAAAATTTCTTTATTGTGGGCATGGTTTGGGTAAAAGGGGAGAGTCACATATCCTAAGTGCTGGGCTCAACAATATGCCAAAATCCTCCTATTGTGGATACCCAGGCAGGAAGGGAGAGTCACATCACTTAGGTCATGGGCTCAGAGATATGTCCCAACGTCCCAAGTAGGCAGGGTTCAGGTAGAAGAGGAGAGGCATATCATGTATGTGCTTCCCTAGGAATATGTCACAATGTAACATGTGGGCAAAAACCAGGCAGAAGAGCCACATCATTTGGGTGCTTGATCCCTAGATATGTCAAAGGTGCTCTTAATGCAGCACCCAGCCAAGAGAGAAACATCATACTAGGTACAGATTCTCTGATTATGCCACAATGCTCTATTTGTGTAGGGTTCAAGGAGGGAGTCGCTTAACTGAGATTATAGGCCCAGAGATATATCACAATGTCCACTATGAAGTAGATCTCTGGCAAAAGAATGCTATAACCTATGTGCCTGGCCTAGAAATATGTCACTCTCAAGGTTGGAAGGGCCTAAGCAGCAGAGCAATATAACCTAGGTGATAGGCCCAGAGATATGTCATAATGCCCTCTTTTGGGGATCCTCTGGCAAAGGAATACCCTTGCCTGTGTGACTTTTCTTGCAATATGTCACTATCCTTCTTTCGTAATATTCTCATTTCAGAGAGAAGACTTACATCAGCTGTGAGGTGGGTGCAGAAACATGTCACAATAATTTTGGCGGGCCTGGCACAGAAAAGTATGTAACATCACCAGGGTGCTAGATCCAGTGATATGTCACAATCTTTACTGAAAGATATGATCAGGCAGAAGAGTCATATCACCTTGACGTTGGCCTTGGTAGGTATCATAATCCCATATGTGGGCTGGAACAAGTCTGGTGAGTCAAATTACACAGGTGATTGGCAAAGATTTATATCACAATCACACAGCCAGAGCATTTCAAAGATAAGATTTATGATACCACACATGTCCTGTTTTCATGTGTGACAGTTGCCTTCATTCATGTGAGATTGTAACAGTCCTTACTTTCAGTGTGGTGTGCATACAAGACTCACAATTTTGCCTGGGTGCTGAGCCCTGCTTTGACTCAGTCTACATAGTCCAAAGACTTTCTAAAATATACGTGAATGTTGTAATCCTTTGTGACCTTTGCACAAGAAGGAGATGCAGGACATGTCCCTAAACTTAACAATAGGGGTCAAAATATTCCCTATTTTCTAAGTCCACATATGAGAGTCATTATCATGCCCGTGAGCCATGTCTAGGTATATGTTAGAATTCCATCTGTGGTTCTGAAGTAGGCAGAACAGCCACATCACCTAAATGCTGAGCTAGAAGCTAGAAGTATTTTGATTTTTTTTTTGTAGGCAGGGTCTTATCAGAAATCTCACAAAACTTGTGTGCTAAATTCAGCTTTGTGGAACAATGTGCTTTGTGGCACAATGTCCTTTGTGGGCAGTGTCCAGGAAGGACAGGAGAGTAATATCACCTAAATGATGGCCTGAAAATATGTGAAAATACCAACTGCTGATAGCACCTAGGAAAGGAGTGATATCATTTGGATGTAGTGTTTAGAAAAGCTAGAATTACCAAAGGAAGCAGGGTACAGGCAAAAGAGGAGAGTAATGTAACCTAGATGAAGAGTCCAGGAATATGTTACAATCTCCCCTGAGGACATTTTTAAGACACCTCAGTCAAACCACCAAGGTGCTTGGCCAATGTATCTGTCAAAAACTCATTTATGAGGTATACTTAGGCAGAACTATTAAATCACTCAGTAGTTGGGCAAAGGTATATGTCACAATTACCCTTGTGGAAAGGCTTAAGACTAAGAGCCACCATCTTGCGCAAATCCTAGGCTCCAGGCATGTGAGTTGTTATTAGGCTTCTGTTATAATCTCTGGTATGTGGCATTATATCACTTGTGGCAAGAGGAAAGAAAAAAAAAGAAAGAAAGAAATTCCCACCACCTATGAGGGTGCAGTTCCAGTGAGATGTTACAATCCACCTTGTGGGAAGGACCCTGGTGGAAGAGTCACATCACCTGGATACTAATTTCAGTGACATATCAAAACCCCCTCTCTGGGCAGGATTTTGGTAAGAGAGGAGCCTCACTTCACCAAGGCAATTGACCTAGATATATGTCACAATATTTTTTCCGTGCAGTAACAGAGCCGGAGAGTGGCATCACACTGTTGCTGAGTGTAGCTTTATTTCATAATCACCCTGTGGTCAAGGTACAGGCAAAAGCCAAGAAACATCACCTAGGTGCTGAGCCAAGTGATATGTTACCATGCTTCCTGTTGTCAGAACCCATAAAGTAGAATCACATCACCTTGGTTCAGTACATAGTTGTGTGTCACAATGCACTGTAAGTGAAGGGTCAAAGCAGTAGCAGGGAGCCATAATACTTACGTGATAGACCTAGATATAACACAGAATTCTTTTTGTAGGCAGATTTAATGCAGATAACTCACATCACCTGGGTGATGGTTCCAGTGATATATAGAAGTTCCCATTGTAAGCAGAGCCATGAAAGAGGTGATCTATTTCTTAGTTGCTTGTTCCACAGATGGCACAATTTCTTCTGTGGTCTGGGCCTAGAAAAGAGAGTCAAATTGCTGATGCACTGGGCAAAGTTACCTTGTCCCAATCACACTCTCAGAAAGGTTCAGAAATAAGTTTCACATCACACACAAGTCCTGGTTTTGTTTATGTGAGTCAACTCTTTCTATGAGTTGGGTTGAAGTAAAGAAGTCACAATCTCAACATTGAGGCAGATCCATGTATAAGATCCCCAATCCCACTTGAAGACTGTGTTCCAGTAGGAGAGTCAGAGCACAACAGTGTGCTGAATCATGGTTCAAATGTTACAAAACCATCTGTGAATCAGATTCCTGAATGAGAGTAATTATTTCAACCTTCGACTGCTTTTTATCCGTGAGATTTAGTACCTCATTCCTAGGCCCTGTTCTGTGTGAGAATGACAATCATGTCAGCTAGGTGTGCATACAAGGGTCTCATTCGTGCCTCGTTGTTGTTCTTGCTTATGATCCTCTTTGTAACATTAAGACTTTATATGATGTACCTGAGTGTTATAATCCTTTGTGAACTTTATAACATTGAAAAACCCAGGACTTTACCCAATGGCTGTGAGACTGGTTCTGAGAGCCAAAGTATCTCTACTGTCTAAGTCCAGGTATGAGAGTTATTATTATGCATCTGTGCTTAACCAAGCTACATGTTACAATTTCACCTGAGAGCAGGGAAAAGGCAGGAGAGTCTCATCACCTGGGTGCTGAGCCAGTGATACAGCATAATCTCATTCATAGGCTAGACCTATTCAGAAGAGTCACGTCACCTGGGTATAGCATCAAATAATATGTCACCAACCCCACTATAGACAAGGGAGAAGAAAAAGATGAGTCACTCCCCATGGATGCTGTGCTGTGCAATATGTAATAATCCCCTTGCTGGCAAGCATCTAGAATATGAAGGAGAGTCCCTTCACCTAGGTTTTGCAGTCAGTGGAATGTCAGAACTTTTTTGGTAAGCAGGACCCTGTCAGGAGAGGAGATCACATAATCTAGATGTTAAGCCAATCAATATTTCACGGTCTTCTGATGGCAGTGCACAGGCAGGGGCCACAAATTACCTAGCTTACAGGTCCAGAGATATGGGATAATTTCCCCTGTTGGCAGGTCCCAGGCAGAACAGTCACATTATTATAATTCTAAACCAGCGGCATATCACAAGACACCCATGTGAAAAAAATTTAATCCAAAAAGTCACAACACCTGGGTACTAGGCCAAAACCTTTTGTCTCTGATGTTGACACCATTAAATATAAGCTGGGTGTGTATAACAGAGCCACACTTTTGCATGTTTCCTACCTTTTTTTATGACACTCTACAACATTTGAAGGCTTTATACAGCATCCATGAGAGTGGCAAACCACTCTGACCCCTACTTGCTAGTATGGATTCACGATCTTACACATTGCCCTAAAACCCAGGTTTTATGTCTTCTGTAGGCTGGATTAAGGATGAGATCCATTATTACTTTTGTGAGCTGGATGTAAAAATGGGTCACCATCCCACCTGTGGTGAGATACACATAGGAAGGTCAAATTCCAACTTTGTACTGTAGTTACTTTTTGGAATCAGGACCTTAACAGTGGGCTTTGGCCATGTGGGATGGAAACATTTGCTTTCATTTAGGTGCATAATCAAGAATCCCAATCTGAACATTTTGCTGGTCCTTGTCTTGAAACTCTCTGCATCTCCCAAGGAAGGTGTTATAAGTAAGTGTTTTAATGTTCTGTAAGCTTTGTACAAATATGCAACCGAGGACCTTTCATATTGCCCTGAGCCTAGTGACGAAAGGCAAAATATCTCCTATTGGTTGAATTTCAATATAAGTTTGACCATCATGCCTGTGATCTCAAGTAATGTGTATGTCACAGTCCCATTTGTGAGCAAAAACTATGCAGCAGGGTAACATCTCTTTGGTGCTGTGCCAAGCAACATGTCACAATACCCTCCCTAGGCAGGGTACAGGAATTAGAGTCACATTAAATTGGTGCTGGACTCAGCAATACAAAACCATCTTACCTGTGAAAGAGACCCAGCCAAAAGATAAGAATCAGAACACCTACATGATGGGCCCAGGACATGTCAAAATACGTTCCGTGGCTCCAGGACAGTCATGAGTCATGATATAATGTCCTCCTCTGGACAGTAAATTAACAGGGTTTGGCCCCAGCAATATACCATACCTCTCTGTGTTTGCAGGACTTAGGCAAAAGAGGAACGTAACCTGGGTGCTGGGCCCTGCAATAGGCCAACAATTCTGATTGTGGGAATGGTTTCAGAAAATAAGGAGAGTCAAACAACCTGAGTTCTGGGCTCTGCAATCCATTCATTGTAAAAATCAGACAGAAGATGAGTCACTTCACTTTAGTCTTGGGCTCAGAGATATATCCCAATGTTCCCAGTATGCAGGTCCCATGAAGAAAAGGACAGTCATATCACTTAGGTGCTTCCGTAGTTGTATGTCACAATCTAACATGTGGGCAGAAACCAGGCAGAAGAGCCACACCACCTGGGTATGGCCTCAAGCAATATGTCACCATGCCCAATGTAGACAGTTTGCAGAAAATAAAGAAAATCACACCACCTGGGTGCTGGGCTCAGAAATATGTAATAATTTCCTTTATTGGTACAATTCAGGACAAAGAGAACATTAATGTCACCTAGGTTTTGCACTCAGTTCAGGACAAAGAGAACATTAATGTCACCAAGTTTTGCACTCACAATTTCTTCAGTGGACAGGATCCAGGCAGGAGAGCAGAGTCACCTTAGCTATATGCTATATCTAGCAATATGTTACAGAGTTCCCTATGGAAAAGGCACTGACAGGAGAGACATCTTACCTAGCCAACAGGCACAGAGATATGTGAAAATATCCCCTGTTTGCAGAGCCCAGGCAGAAGAGTCACAGTATTATGTTCTGATCCATTGATATGTAACATGCCCTTCTGGAAAATAATTTGAACCAAAAAGTCTCAACACTGGGGTACCAGGTCAAGGATATGACACAATCTCCTCAACTTTAAGGGTGACACCATTAACTGTTACCTAGTTGTGCATATGTCAGTCACAAACTCACGTGGGTGCTGGCCATTGTGTGACACTCTATACAACCTCTGAGAACTTTAAACAACATCCATGAGAGTTGAAAACTCACTGAGGCCTACATGCTTATATGGACTCATGATCTTACATATTTCACTAAGCTCAGATATGACAGTCAACATCTCTCTTACACATGCTGGCTTCAGGGAGGAGACCATTATTAGCCCTGTGAGCTGGGTCCAGAATTGAGTCACCATTCCACCTGTGGCCAGATTCTCTGATAAAAATTACAATTTCATTTTTGTGCTGTATTTACTTATTAGGACTCAGGACCTCAACAATGAGCTTTGTAAATGTAGG